>NT_187363.1:0-127682 GCF_000001405.40 Homo sapiens | reverse complement strand
GATCAAAGGTCCCAATTGACAATGAAACTTGGTTACATTAAACCAGAATCATGACTGACTACATCACATCAGGACAATCAGACTTTTATTAATTTCAAATTATGTTGGAGTAAAACACTGTTTTTCTAGATTTTTCAGGACATATATTTCAGCATCAGGACATAACAGCAGAGTTGGAATCACAGGAAAAAACTTACAAGAGTTGACAAAAGATTGAAGGAAACTTATCACCTCAGCCAAGCAAAATGTTATGCATTTTTAGGCAAGAAAAAAGGGGAGCTGAATCTCCATCCTCAAACTAGGCAAATTAAATAGATCTCAAAAAGATATTTGACAGAAATGGAAATTGTCTGTAGTTTAGAAGATGGCTGTTAAGGAACAGATTTCAGAATTAAAACTCAAAACCTCTTGCAATTTTATGAAAACTAAATCAATACTTTAAGAAAACCTTGTTGTTCTAACATAGGTGACCACATTTTTTCAGTTTTGTATTAGTGTATTTTTAATGCCAAAGCTCAATCCTTAGTAAGACTTATAATTTAATTTTCTTCTGATTGTAACCAACTTGGTCACAGGCAAAATATCTTGCATAAATTCTCTTTTCACAAATGAGTTACTCAGACCATTGTTGACGTGCTTGGGTTTTCCACTTTGTCCTGTACTTTCCCTCTTAAATAACTAGCCATTTTAGTTTAGGATGAAAATTTACCACACAAGATTCTTTGTCATGTGAAATATTTCTTTTCTTTTCAACCTTCTCCTGTCTCCATCTCCCTATCAATAACTTTCTTCACCTCTCTCTCTTCTACTTACTGGATCTTCTTTAACATTTCACTGTCTTTCCTTAATCAATATTTTGAAACAACCTTTAAATAACCTTTAAATTATATAAAATTATTATTTCTTTCTCAATAAAGAGCATATTTGTATGCATTTCTTATACATTTTTTCTTATTAAAAACTCATCCTACTTTTTAAGGCACACTTTTATATAGAATTATATATATTAGTTAGGCCAGGCATGGTGGCTTACACCTGTAATCCCAGCACTTTGGGAGGCTGAGGCAGGAGGATTGCTGGAGCCCAGGAGTTCGAGGTGGCAGTGAGATATGATCTTGCCACTGCATTCCAGCCTGGGTGACAGAGTGGGATCCTGTTCCCCCACCCCACAAAAAGAATTATCCATATTAATTACAATTTTATTATTTTACTTTATTTGAGACAGGTCTCAATCTGCCACCCATGCTGCAGTGCAGTGGCACAATCACAGTTCACTGCAGCCTCAACATCCTGGGCTGAAGCAACCCTCCCACCTCAGACTCCCCAGTAGCTGGGACTACAGGCGTGTGCCACTATGCCTGGCTAACTTTTATATTTTTTGTAGAGACGGGGTTTAACCATGTTGCCCAGAGTGGTCTCAAACTCCTGGGCTCAAGCAATCCACCCGCATCGGCCTCACAAAGTGCTGGGATCACAGGCATGAGCCACTGTACCTGCCCTATATTAATTAGAATTTTAAACTTGTAGTAACCTTAAATTATAGTGAAAACTTAGGCAGCAAGAAATCTGTCACATATCAGTATTATCAGTATTTTATGGGTGAGAACAATTTTATAGCAATATAGAAAGTTATATGGGTATAAAAATCCATGTAACATATCCACATAGACGTAACTCTAGGAAAAAGTTAACATAGCAACCAAAATTATGACTAATAATGTAGGGACCAGCCCCACAGGGTCTGTGGATTTTTCTCCCTGTGTGTGGAGATGAGAGATCATAGAAATAAAGACACAAGACAAAGAGATAGAAGAAAAGACAGCTGGGCCCAGGGGAACACTACCACCTAGACACAGAGACCAGTAGTGGCCCTGAATGCCAGTCTGCGTTGTTACTTATTGGATACAAGACAAGGGGTCAAGGTAAGGAGTGTGAGCCATCTCCAACGATAGGTAAGGTCACGTGGGTCACGTGTCCACCAGACGGGGGCCCTTCCCTGTTTGGCAGCTGAGGTGGGGAGAGAGAGAGACAGCTTATGCCATTATTTCTGCATATCAGAGACTTTTAGTACTTTCACTAATTTTGCTGCTGCTATCTAAAAGGCAAGCCAGGTGTACAGAATGGAACATGAAAGCAGACTAGGAGCATGACCACTGAAGCACAGCATCACAGGGAGATGGTCAGGCCTCCAGATAACTGCAGGTGGGCCTGACTGATATCAGGCCCTCCACAAGAGGTGGCAGAGCAGAGACTTCTCTAAACTTCCCCGGGGAAAGGGAGACTCCCTTTTCCAATCTGCTAAGTAGTGGGTGCTTTTCCTTGGCACTGACACTACTGCTAGAGCACGGTTCGCTTAGGTCACAGGTGTCTTCCCAGAGCTGGCATTACCACTAGACCAAGGAGCCCTTGTCTTCTGGTCACTTCTCACTATGTCCCCTCAGCTCCTGTCTCTGTATGGTCTGGTTTTTCCTAGGTTATGATGGCATAGTGAGGATTATTATAATATTGGAATAAAGAGTAACTGCTACAAACTAATGATTAATGATATTCATATATAATCATATTATGATCTATATCTAGTATAACTATTCTTAATTTATATATTTTCTTTATTACACTGGAACAGCTCTTGCCCTTGGTCTCTTGCCTCGGCACCTGGGTGGCTTGCCACCCACATAATAACAGATTTCTAGAAGAGACAAATATAAAACCATCTGACCAGTAAACCTGGGTAAAACGTACATTGACCATTTTGAAGTTATTTCTATTTATATTTTACCACTAATTTTAGAATAGTTTATTTATCGCAGATTAAGTCACATGAATTAAAAAGAATTTAGGTTAATTATTGTATATTTCATGAGGTCATTTATCTAAATAGACTTTCTTAAGGGATTTCAGGATCACTACACCAGATTTTACCATGTAGACAAAACATATAACAAAATACATGTGTATATGCATAAACACATCTGACCACATATACACACACAAATAACAGATCTTATGTTTTTTTTTTTATTTAGACTTTTAGTCATGAGATAGTAATACTAATCCACCAGTTTATAAAAGACAGTTGGACCCAAATTATATTTTTTGGCAAAATGTAAAACATGGCTAAAATTTATTTGCCACGATAGGTAATCTAATAAGTGCTGTGAACCACAGTTTGGGTAAAGCAGTTTCCATGGCAGTTTGACTTTTTAAAAAAACTTTTTCACCTTTTCTTAAGTTTCAGATGAGTTTAGGGTTATATTTTCAATGTTTACATTTAAGCTGGGACTGGATAAATTGTATAAGAAAAATAAAATCTCCATGTAACCTTGAATTACTAGCAAATTTATTTTCTGTTTGCCAGTGTGATTTGCTTGACTAGCAAGTGTGGACAGGAAAGATTTTTAGCGGTTCTAAATTATTTATAATTTTTGCTTTTGCGTGGCAGAAATAGCAAAATTTTTGTGTTAGACATACCTTAGATTATTGCTGTAAGGCCAAGATTTTGACCTGTTTGATCAGAGAGCCTAATTTCATAAATATTTATCTAGTTTTTTTTCTTATATTAACTTCTAATGATGTATTCTGTCATTGTACACAATTGTAAGTCAGGTAAACCTAAATTTATATTTCTTATTTTTTCTTAACACACGGTATTTTAGAATTAAATTTATATTTCTAAAGATTATCTCACTTGTTGATATCATGAAGCTGTTGTAATTTATAAAGCCATTAATTTGAAAACTCTTTAAGATTTGGGGCACAGGCCAGAATTCCATAAACAGTGAATGGGTAGAAGAAGAACAGAGAGAGGTATGCAGAGAACTTAGAAATCTCTACATGTTAACTCTATAATTGCAGGTTTTTCAAATAATGACTATTGGAGATCTGTATTTTCCTTGATGTAATTTTCCCAGCAAGATAAACATATGAGTCATAATATGTAACCAGCTGGAGTCCCAGAAAACCTAGCATGCCTTAATGTTGGAGAATGCAATTTTGTTTTGTTTCTTGTTTTTTGTTGTTTTTTAGATGGAGTCTTGCTCTGTCACCAGGCTCTCATGCAGTGGCACAATCTCGGCTCACTGCAACTTCCACTCTCCCGGGTTCAAACGATTCTCCTGCCTCAGCCTCTCGAGTAGCTGGGACTACAGGCACATGCCACCATGCCGGGCTAATTTTTTTTTTTTGTATTTTAATAGAGACGAGGTTTCACCATGTTGGCCAGGATGGTCTTGATCTCTTGACCTTGTGATACACCCACCTTGGCCTCTGAAAGTGCTGGGATTACAGGCATGAGGCACCGCACCCTGTGAGCGTTCTGTTTTTCATTAATCTTGCAAGAGTAGAGAAAATCCTATAAATCCTCTCATGGAATTCCAGGGGTTTAGGCCAGTGTTTTAGAGGGTGACAACTGCCCTGGCAGCTTTTAGTTAGCCATTCTGACCCACCATTTAGAATGTTTACTTTTGCTCTTGGGAGAATTTCAGAAACAAGGATAAAGAATCAAATAAAATCAAAAGAAACAAAGATAAGATCGTTCACAAAAATTTTAACCTAGACATGCAGATCAAAATATTAAACTAGGCATGAAGACAAATTTGAAAGTAAATTCACTAGAATATATGCCTCACAGACAGAATGTAAAATCCGTAGACGCCAAGACTGATCCAGAAACACACTGATCTTTATTCCAGAAAGGACTTACCAGAAAAGACAGAAAGTCTTTTATCATCTCTGGAGGGATATGTGGTCCTTCATTAAGGTAGCTTATCCAAACCTGTTCCCAAATGGTATAAAAAGCCTCTACCAAAAGGAGGGAGGCTTAGCCTGAAAGAAGACAGGAAAAACAGGCAGGAAAAAACAAGCTGTGAAAGAAAGCAAAGAGCTCAAAGGGTTCAAAGGTGAGTACTGCATGCTGATTCTGGGAATAATTCCCCTCAATCTTCGTTTCTGAACAAGAACTCAGTGAAAAAATGAAGTCAGCAAGATTCTTGGGGGGTGGTAAATAATTATACTTTCTGTGGTTAGTTAGGGAGAATATCTGTGGGCTTTTGGGTTAAAGGACCACTGACATCATGATAACCAGGGCAGCCTCTCCCAAGAATACTACATTCCTCCTTGTCTTCTTCATTCACAGACAGGATTCCCTTCATCTGAGAAAGCCAGTTCTCCTCCAAAAGATCCACCTCACACAAGTCCAGGGTAATTATAATGTATTGGCAACACCCATTCACTATATTGTACATTTTGAAAAAGCTATGTATTTCACTACATCTGCATTTAACAGTTCATCACAGAATTGCAGACACTGTGTGCAGAGTCCTTTTCTTGGAATGCTGATTTTCTGGGCTCAGTGCTTTCTCCAGAGGTTTTGCACAATTTGGGGATTTTCTCTACAGAATGGAGAAGGCTTTTTTTTGCTAAATACAAAGACAAGCTCTTGAGAGGAAAAATCATGTTTCTATATAAAAGTAAATGTGATTCCCAAAGGCCTACTTTGAAAGAAAAGGGACAAAACTGAGGTGTCATTCCAGACAGTGTGATAGGTATGTCAACAAATGATATGTACATCCAACAGACACATCCAAATACAAGCTTCCTAAAAATGGATCAATTTTTACTTATTCAAGAAATCTCTTTTTGAGCTGCTTTCCAAAAAGTCAAAATCAATTATTTTGAATGGGTAGAAAATCTTCCAATTTTGAGGGTAAATTGGAAGTTGAAGAACAATCAAGTCATTCATAGCAGGGTCTGATAAGTCAGGAGGATGAATGAAAGGAAAGAATGCTGTTGGTGTCCAAAGGTAAACCTGGCTTGCTTCTGGCAGGTGACATCTAAGGCACATACAATGTGACAGCTTTGAAGGGCAGAGGGGCCTTGACATTGACTCTCCACAATGATATGGAGATCAGCGTGAGTGCCCACATGTTGACTCCTGGAAGACTACTAAGCATTTGCCACCTCCTCCAAGGTGGAGGTCCACAAGAAGGCTCCAGAGTCATTCACAGGTGTTGTCAATTTCCAGCATCAGTGCAGCTCTCCTTACCTGGTCAGCTAGAGACACAGACATATTGGCAATATAGTATTCTTGTGGGATTTGTTTGCTTTTAGGATAACAGATGAATTTTTCGCCAACAAACACAACAATTCATTTTCAACAGGCACCAGTTCCTCCTAAATATGGAAGATTCACCATGTCTTAGTGTGGATTCCCCCAGGAGCAGAACTTAAGACAAAGATTTCAGTGCATGTAGTTTATTTGGGACATGATCCCAAGGAGACTGGAAGCATTGGTCAAGGAGGGACAGAATGGGACGGGGTTCAGGAAGAAGACAAAATAAGGATGTGTTGCCAAGTGAGTTACACTGCAGATGACTGGTGCTTACTCCCATGACAGAACTCTGGGGAGCCACGTCAAACTTGGAACCCAGGCCAAGTGGGCTGTAGCTGCAGAGAAGGGGATACACAACCTTAGGTAAGAGGGTGCACATTTCAGCCATTGGATGTGGGGCTGGAGGAAGACATTTGGCTGGGCTCCTACCGTGTATACTATTATACTGTTATGGTTAGTAAGAGACAGGTCGTGATGATGTTGTCAGTTAAGAATAGCCATCATTTGCTTAGTGAAGTGGGGAATTGTCCTGGGAGTCTAACTTGCTAAGCTAATTTCACACCTAACTCCCACAGCTTGTTCACACCTAATTTCAGGATATATGTCAAAAGGTAAGAATAAATGTGATATACTGGTATATAAGTTACATCAGTGGTCCCTAGCCTTTTTTGGCACCAGAAATGGGTTTCATGGAAGACAATTTTTCCACAGATGGCAGGGAGGACAGTTTTAGGATGAAATTGTTGCACCTCAGATCATCGGGCATTAGATTCTCATAAGTGCATGCAACCTAGATCCCTCACATGTGCAGTTCACATTGGGGTTTGTACTCCTATGAGAATCGAATGCTGCAGCTGATCTGATAGGAGGCAGAGCTCAGGTCATAATGCTCACTCAGCCACCACTCACTTCCTGATGTGCAGCCCGGTTCCTCAGAGGTCACGGACACATACCTGTCCATGGCCCAGGGGTGGGGACCCCTGAGTTACATTATACATACTATCAATATCTGGCTGTACCAAACAGTATTGTGAAAACACTTATAGTCCTGTTTGAGGGTCTTTTCTGAAGCTTTCCATTTACAAATAGAAAAGAATATTAAGGCCAGGCATGGTGGTTCATACCTGTAATCACAGCACATTGGGAAGCTGAGGCAGGAGGATCCTTTGAGCCCAGGAGTTTGAGACCACCCTGGGAAACATGGCAAAACCCTCTGTGTACAAGAAAATACTAAAACACACCAGGTGTGGTGTCACATGCCTGTGGTCTCAGGTACTTGGGAGGCTGAGGTGGGAGGATCGCTTGAACCCAGGAAGTTGAGGCTGCAGTGAGTTGTGATTACACCAGCCTGGGTGACAGAGTGTCACCCTGTCTCAAAAAAAAAAAAAAAAAGAATATTAAAACAGATACTGTGGTTTCTATCTTTTTGGTCCTTTCATAGCAAAAACCAACAAAAGAAACTAATGTATAACCTAGCAAAATACAGCAAGAACTAGGAATTTTCTATTTCAGTGCCTTAGGCAATCTGACAGATAATGTAGTTCAATAAAAGTGTTTGCTGTACTGTGAAATGTACATTTAGATATGCAGACAGCCTCTTGACACAGACATTGCTATAGTGGTTTCTAGCATAATTTAAGGCTTTTTGTTCTTGATTAACAGTGAGATGCCATCTGCCTCAGTGTGTGCCCTAAGAAATTAAAGAGATACCAGGAAGGAAAAATATTAATGAGGAGTATAAAATTCTAGTTTTAAAAAACATCTTGGCCGGATGTGGTTGCTCATGCCTGTAATCCCAGCACTTTGGGAGGCTGAGGCAGGTGGATCACCTGAAGTCAGGAGTTCGAGACCATCCTGGCCAACATGATGAAACCCGGTCTCTACTAAAAATACAAAAAATTAGCTGGGCATGGTGGTGCATGTCTGTAATCCCAGCTACTTGGGAGGTTGAAGCAGGATAATCACTTGAACCTAGGAGAAGGAGGTTGCAGTGAGCTGAGATTGTGCCATTGCACTTTAGCCTGGGCAATAAGAGTGAAACTCCATCTCAAAATAATAATAATAATAATAACCGCGGATTTTTGCAAGGCTACAGAGAAAAGGGAATGCCTATACACTCTTGGTAGGAATGCAAATTAGTTCAGCCACTGTGGAAAGTGGTTTGAAGATTTCTCAAAAAACAGAACTATCATTAGACCCAGAAATCCCATTACTGGGTGTATACCCAAAATAAAATAAATTATAATTATTCTACCCAAAGACACATACACTAATATGTTCACAATAGCAAAGACATGGAATCAACTTAGGTGCACATTAATGATGAATATGACAGAAAATGTGGCATATGTACACCATGGAATACTATGCAGCCATAAAAAAGAATTAAATAACGTTCTTTGCAGCAACATGGATGCATCTGGTGCCCATCATCCCAAGCAACTTAATGCAGAAACAGAAAACCAGCTATCACAGGTTCTCACTTATAAGTGGGAATTAAATCTTGGGTACACACAGACATAAACTTGGGAATAATAGACACTAAGGACTTCAAAGGAGGGAGGAGGGAATGGCACAAGACCTGAGAAGCTTCCTATTAGGTACTATGTTCGCTATCTGGTTGATGGGACCAATAGAAGCCCAAACTTAAGCACCATGCTATTTACCCTTAAACCAAATTTGCACATGTATCCCTGAATCTGAAATAATAAAAAAAATAAAAATGTTTTATTAGTCTAAAACCTGTCAATATGACATAAAAATAATTATCAGGTTGGGCACAGTGGTTCATATCTGTAAACCCAGTGCTTTGAGAAGCTGAGGCAGGAGGATCATTTGAGGCCAGGAGTTCAAGGCCAGCCTAGTCAACACAGCAAGAGCCCATTTTTACTAAAAAGAAAAAAAGGAAAAGAAAATACTCAAAATAAAAAGCAATCGCCTTTCTTACTCCTTCTCTCTTCATTTCTACAACAGTCTTATTTTTCTAAATGACAATAATTATCAATATTAAGGTTTTGAAATTCTAGTACTTTCAATAATAAATATCAACTAATTGCATTGTTTTTAAAATCAATATTTCAAAAACAAATCAATATTTCACATGGCTATAAAAGCACAAAACATTGATTAAAGTTTAATAAAAACATGGAAATAAATTATTTCAAATAAATATAAAATTAATATAACTTAATTGAAGGAAAAACTACTTGAAAATAATTAAGGTTGTTCAGGTTCAAATCAACAAATTCCATGATCAACAATTTAAAATATTAAGGTCTGGTAAGTGATAGAATTAATGCCTAAATATGCCTAAATGACAACATTGCTAACTGATGTTTTTGTTTATTTATTTATTTATTTTTCAGATGGAGCCTTGCTCTGTCACCCAGGCTGGATTGCAGTGGCACGATCTCAGCTCAATCCAAACTCTGCCTCCCACTTTTAAGCGATTTTCCTGTCTCAGTGTCCGGAGTAGCTGGGATTATAGGAGAGCGCCACCACGCCTGGCTAATTTTGTATTTGCAGTAGAGACGGGGTTTTTCAGTGTTGGCCAGGCTGTTCTCGAACTCCTCACCTCAGGTAATCTGCCCACCTCAGTCTCCCAAAGTGCTGTGATTACAGGTGTGAGCCCCCATGCCTGTCCTGATGTTATTTAAATTTTATTTTAAAGAACAATCCCTAAGCAATTCATGGTGCTAAGTACAAATAAATCAAAAATAAAGCACATAACTTTTTTTTCTGCAGGACTTCATAATTCAGTTGGGATGACAAGACTAAAAATAATAGTGATAAACTCTCTGATAGAAGGAAAAAATGAAACTAAAGGAGTGTGGAGGAATAGGTCTCTATTTTAATTTATGAGTTTTGCAGCCATTTTGTAGACATGACACTTGAATTTTAAATAAGTTAAAAGGAAAAATAATTGACAACTTCCAAACCTTTCTCTCTCACCCAAATTTATTCATATGTATTATTTCTATTAATGATTATCATAAGAGAAATTAGGACTTCTAAATTAGTAAATATTGGCCGGGTGCGGTGGCTCACACCTGTAATCCCAGCACTTGGGGAGGCTGAGGCAGGTGGATCACAAAGTCAAGAGATCCAGACCATCCTGGCCAACACGGTGAAACCCCATCACTACTAAAAATACAAAAAAAAAGAAAAAAAAATTAGTCGGGCGTGGTCATGGGCACCTATTGTCCCAGCTACTCGGAAGGCTGAGGCTGAAGAATCGCTTGAACCTAGGAGGTGGATGTTGCAGTGAGCCAAGATCGCGCCACTGCACTCCAGCCTGGAAACAGAGCAAGATTTCACTTCAAAAAAAAAAAAAAAGGTAACATGCCTAAAAATAATAAATTCAGTTCATGCTAACAAAATAGTATTTTAAAATAAAACAAGTCCCCACATAGTTTGAAGAGTTGCAATGTTTTTACATTTTTGCAAAATGTCTGGCTTAACTGAAGACAGCTTGATACTCATATCTGCTTCTGAATTCAGTCTGTTGCAATATGTTGTTTTGACTAAGTGTGTGAAGAAAATATTGCCCTACACAGACATGAAGTTCTAGAAAGGAAGAATAATTTAAAATAATTTTTGGACGAAGTGTGGTGGTACACGCTTCTAATCCCAGAACTTTCAGAGGCTGAGGCGGGCAGAACACTTGAGGTCAGGAGTTCGAGACCAGACGGCCAACATGGTGAAACCCCGTCTCTACTAAAAATACAAAAATTAGCAAGCGTGGTGGTGAGTGACTGTAATCCCAGCTATTTGGGAGGCGGAGGAAGGAGAATCGCTTGAACCCAGGAGGTGGAGGTTGCAGTGAGCCAAGATTGTGTCCAGCCTGGTGACAGAGTGAAACTCCATCTCGAAAAAAAAATGAAGTATTTTTGGCCAACTATTGTTCTTCTTCTTTGATCTGCAAACAAATGCTTTATTCAGGTTATTGCAATGGGAGGCATGACACCACATCATATGCTTTTTCTGCTATATCACATTAAAACCTATAGGTCTATTTTCAATGTTAATGGGTCTTTTACTGATCATGATTTTTATCATATTGGCATGGCCATTGGGAAAATATTGGTTCATTGAATAATGCAGATGTTCCAAATATTGATACACTATATTATAAAATATTTTGAAATTCAGTAATATTACCCTTGATCTCCTCAGAAAAATCCGTAAGTTTTGAAAAATTGTCATGTTCAAGAATGCAGATACGTTTTCCAAATTTTAATTTTCACTTGAAAACTTTTTACATTTTCAGTAACAGCTCAGTTATTTTTCTTTAAGACAATCTCACTTTTTTTTTTTCAGGCAAGGTCTTGCTCTGTTGCCCAGGCTGGAGTGCAGTGGTGCAATCATAGCTCACTGCAACCTCTGCCTCCCGGGGCCAAATGATCCTCCCGCCTCAGCCTCCCCAGTAGTAGACTGTGGGCCTCAAGCCACCCAGGTGCCAAGGCAAGAGACTGAGGGCATGAGCTGTTCCAGTGTAATAAAGAAAATATATAGAAGAATACTTGTACTAGAAATAGAATATAAATGATGATATGTGAATATTAGTAATCATTAGTTTGTAGTATTACTCTTTATTCCAATATTATAATAATCTCTGTTCCACGACTATAACCTAGGAAAAACCAGGCCATACAGAGATAGGAGCTGAAGGGACATGGTGAGAAGTGACTAGAAGACAAGAGTATGAGCCATCTGTCACTCCCAGACAGGGCCACCAGAGGGCTCCCTCGTCTAGCGGTAACGCCAGCGCCTGGGAAGACGCCTGTTACTTAGCAGACCTTGGTCTAGCGGTAGCGCTAGTGCCTGGGAAGGCACCGGTTACTTAGCAGACCGGGAAAGCGAGTCTCCCTTTCCCCGGGGTAGTTAGAGAAGACTCTGCTCCACCACCTCTTGTGGAAGGCGACATCAGTCAAGCTCGCCCGCAGCCATCCGGAGTCCTGTCTCCCTGTGATGCTGTGCTTCAGCGGTCAGGCTCCTGGTCTGCTTTCATGTTCCGCCCTCTGCACCTGGCTTGGCCTTCTAGATAGCAGTAGCGGAATTAGTGAAAGTACTAAAAGTCTTTGGAATGCACAGACGGAATAATGGCGTAAGCTGTCCTCCCTCTCTCTCCGCCTCGGCTGCCAAACAAGGAAGGTCCCCCGACTGGTGGACAAGAGACCCACGTGACCTTACCCATCACTGGAGATGGCTCACACTCCTTACCCTGCCCACTTGCCTTGTATTCAATAAATAACAGTTCGGCCAGGCATTCGGGGCCATTACCAGTCTCCACATCTTGGTGGCAGTGGTCCCCCTGGCCCAACTGTGTTTTCTTCTATCTCTTTGTCTTGTGTCTTTATTTCTATGATCTCTCATCTCTGCACACGGTGAGGAAAACCCAAAGACCCTGTAGGGCTCATCCCTACAGTAGACTACAGGCTTACATCATCACCCCTGGCTAACATTTTTTTGTAGAGATTGGGTTTCACCATGTTGCTCCAACTGGTCACAAACTCTTGAGCTCCAAAAGTGCTGGGATTACAGGCATGAGCCACTGCACCCTGTCACACTTATTTCATTTTTAAGTAATAAGTGCTCTATGAGTTCTTACCATTTTATCAAATAGAATACTGAAAAGACATACTTGGGGATATAGATTTAATGAAAATGTTATTTTTTACTGCTTCATCAATGATATTCTTAAGTAACATGAAAATAAAATTGGCCTGTTTACTTATTTAGGCAACCAAGTGACTGTAAATAATAGAACTGCTACTATTATTTGGAGCCGCTGTCTTGTTTTTGCTACGGTTTTACTTACTACTGCTTTTGCACCAAAGCAGAGAACAAAAAAAGCAAAAAAGAAAAGTAACATAGCTGTATTATGATAGAAAGAGTCTTATTTTCATGGAGCACTCTGAGATCCACTGTTCCAGATATAGTTCTCTCCCAGACCCATCACCTGTTCTGTCACAAAGTTTTATTAATTCTACTTCTTAAGTATTCTACTCACTGCTTCCTCTCCACAACTTTATGACTCAGTGAAACCCTCACTCTCTCTCACCTGAAATATTTCCATTTTCCATCATGTTTCCATCAGCCTGCACTCCTCTACTCAGTGAAAACCTCACCCTCTCTCATCTGAAATATTTCCATTTTCCATCATGTTTCCATCAGCCTGCACTCCTCTTACTTCCCGTTATCTTGTTCGCTTCCAGACTAACATCTCTAGACAGGTAACTGTGTTCCTCAAGGGCTTAAAATCACTTAACAACAGCTTAAAACTTAGGTTCTCACTCTTTAGCAAGGACTTGAAGACTTTTAATGATTCAGCTCCTGCTCACAAATCTAACCTCATTTTTTCCCACATCAACACTGAACAGAAACTAAGTTCCACTCATATATAAAATCTTTCAATTTTCTGGAATAAAAAAGATTATGTAGCTGTCACCCATAATCTGACTCCAGAACTCTGTTTCTGCACCTTCCTATCAAACTCATAATAAGTCTCCGTATTAGTCTGTTCTCATGCTGCTAATATGGACATACCCAAGACTGGGTAATTTATAAAGAAAAATAAGTTTAATGGATTCACAGTGCCACTTGGCTGGGGAGACCTCACAATCATGGCAGAAGGCAAAGGTCAGGTCTTACACAGCAGCAGACAAAAGAGAGCATGTGCAGGGGAACTTCCTTGCATACAACCATCAGATCTCATGAGACTTATTCACTATCATAAGAACAGCACAATCCTCATGATTCAATTACCTCCCACTAGGTCCCTCCCACAATACGTGGGAATTATGGGAACAACAATTCGAGATTTGGGTGAGGACACAGCCAAACCATATCAGTCTCATAATAACGACCAAAGGCCAAGCCTTCCCTAAGTCGTCCTTAAGAGACTCATGTAGATTTCATAGTTTGCTCCCAGTTGGGCCTTTTCTCAAGACGTTGACATTTTGATCTGGACTCAGATGACTTTGTGGCTCATTATGAATTCCATTTGTGTTCTTACACTGGTTTCAGTAAGATAGCTACACTTTCATCAATTTGTGTCATTATTTATTAATTCTTTGCATAACTGGACTTCAAAATAGGATTTTAAAAAATGTTTTGACCGTGTGCTCTTCACGATGAAGATCACTAGGTGTTTGTTATGTGATTCTTTCTTTCCTATCATATGGGAGAAAATAGGATTGGGCTGTGTGCCCTGAGAGGGAGGGCACATTTAGATATTTTAGGAGTTGTAAAAAGAAGACCAAATATCAGAGAGAGAGACTTCGCTTCACCTGTAGTTCAAATGGTTTGTTAGGACAGGTACAGTGGCTCATGCCTGTAATTCCAGCACTTTGGGAGGTTGAGGCAGGTGGATCCCTTGGGCTCATGAGTTCAAGACCTGACTGAGCAACATGGTGAAACCCTGTCTCTACAAAAAATAGAAAAACTAGCCAGGCATGGTGATGCACAGTATTATGAGGTTGCACTTCACTGAAAAAACAAAGTTGTTTAGCACTTCCATGTGAACCACACCATCTCACAACTATGAGGTGTAGCTGAAGTCCAGTCCCAAGGACACAAAGAAGACACACCATGTTAATGGAATGACACACTGCAGTGTATCTAGATAAAAGATCCTGGGCCTTGATGAGAGAGATAGACGCAGTCTTGAAGGAACTGATTATGCAGTGATTCTGCATTTAAATATTTGACCTAATTTTAATGACAAAAATGCACACACCTTTCATTTTCAAAGTACAGTTGTTCCTCAGTATCCATGGGAAATCAGCTCCAGAATACCCCCACAGATACCAAAATCCACTGATGCTCAAGTCTTATATAAAATGGTATATTTGCATATAACCCATGCTTATCCTTCCATATGCAGTCATGTGCCCCATAATGACCTTTTAATCAATAATGAACCATGTATATTACCATGGCCCCTTAAGATTATAAACACATATAGAAACCTTCTTGCAGGAAGTCAGAGATCCCGAATGGAGGGAATGGTGGGAACCGTGTCAGAAGAACATAAATTGTGAAGATTTCATGGACATTTATTAATACTTTTATAATTAATACTTTTATAATTTCTTATCCCTGTCTTACTTTAATCTAATCCCATCATCTTCATAAGCTGAGGATGTATGTCACCTCAAGACCCTGTGATGATTGCGTTAAGTGTACAAATTGTTTGTAAAACGTGTGTTCAAACAATATCAAATCTGAGTGTAAAACATGGGTGTTTGAACAATATGAAATCAGTGCACCCTGAAAAAGAACAGAATAACAGCGATTTTCAGGGAACAAGGGAAGATAACCATAAGTTCTGACTGCCTGCGGGGTCGGGCAGAATACAGCCATATTTTTCTTCTTGCAGAGAGCCTATAGATGGACGTGTGAATAAGAGAATATCACTGAATTCTTTTCTCAGCAAGGAATATTAATAATTAATACCCTGGGAAAGGAATGCATTCCCGGGGGTAGGTCTATAGATGGCCGCTCCGGGAGTATCTGTCTTATGCAGTTGAAATAAGGACTGAAATACACCCTGGTCTCCTGCAGTACCCTCAGGCTTGCTAGGATTGGGAAATTCCAGCCTGGTGAATTCTAGTCAGACTGGTCTCTGCTCTTGAACCTTGTTTCCTGTTAAGATGTTTATCAAGACAATGTGTGCACAGTGGGACACAGACCCTCATCAGTGGTTCTAATTTTGCCTTCACCTTGTGATCTTTATGGCCCTTTGAAGCATGTGACCCTTGTGACCTACTCCCTGTTCGTAAACCCCCTCCCTTTTCAAAATCCCTAATAAAAACTGGCTGGTTTTGCAGCTCAAGGTCACCATCATGGTCCTACCAATGTGATGACACCCCCAGAGGCCTAGATGTAAAATTTCTTTCTTTGTACCCTTTATTTCTCAGACCAGCCAACACTTAGGGAAAATAGAAAGAACCTACGTTGAAATATTGGGGGCTGGTTCCCCCGATAAAACCTGATATGTGGGACTTGATACTAGCACTGCAGATCAAGTAGGGAAAGTGACTGATATTCAATGACGGTGCTAGAACATATGGTTTCTCACATGAAAAAATATAAACATATATACCATCTAGGGTTATGTAAGTACACTTTATGATGTTCACAAAACAAAAATATTGCTTAGTAATGCATGTCTCAGAACATACACATGTCATTAAGCCATGCATGACTGTACTTTATATCATCTCTGGAACACTTCGGTCAATCAGGAAACACAACTGAGACAAATCTCGATCATTTTAAGAGGTTTATTTGCTAACGTTAAGGATGCACACCCAGGAGACAGGTCTATGCCTTTCTTCAAAAATGATTATGAGGGCTCCAAATTTAAAGGGGAAAGGGTGAAATATTGAGAAATACAGTTTTCATGTAAGATTGGGGTAGGGGGAAAACATTCATTGATATGGTTTGGCTCTGTGTCCCCACACAAATCTCACCATAAATTGTAATAATCCTCATGTGTCAAGGGTGGGACCAGGTGGAAGTAATTGGATCATCAGGGCAGTTTCCTCTTTGCTGTTCTCATGATAATGAGTCACATGAGATCTGATGGTTTTGTAAGTGTCTGGCATTTCCCGTGCTTGCACTCATTGTCTCTCCTGCCCCCCTGTGAAGAGGTGCTCTCTGCCATTATTGTAAGTTTCCTGAGGCCTCCCCAGCCATGCAGAGCTGTGAGTCAATTAAACCTCTTTCCTTTACAAATGACCCAGTCTTGAGTATTTCTTCAGAGCAGTATGAGAAAAGACTGATACAGTCATTCATGCCTTTGTCTCAGTGAATCTGCATTTATACATAACATAGACAAACAGGGAGGGGGAACAATCAGATATGCATTTGTGTCAGGAGGGCAGAGGGGTGAGAATAGACTGATACAGTCATCCATGTCTTTGGCTCAGTGAATCTGCGTTTATACATAACATAGACAAACAGGGAGGGGAACAATCAGATATGCATGTGTGTCAGGTGGGCAGAGGGGTGAGAACAGATTGATACAGTCATTCATGCCTTTGGCTCAGTGAATCTGCATTTATACATAACATAGACAAACATGGAGGGGAACAATCAGATATGCATTTGTGTCAGGTGGGCAGAGGGATGACTCTGAGTTCTGTCCTATGCATTGTAAAGATGAGATATCAGACCAGGCACAGCAGCTCACATCTGTAATCCCAGCACTCTAAGAGGCTGAGGTGGGTGGATCACCTGAGGTCAGGAGTTCAAGACCAGCCTGACCAACATGGAGAAACCCCGTCTCTACTAAAAATACAAAATTAGCCAAGTGTGGTGGTTCATGCCTGTAATCCCAACTACACAGGAGGCTGAGGCAGGAGAATCACTTGAACCCGGGAGGCAGAGGTAGCGGTGAGCCGAGATTGTGCCATTGCACTCCAGCCTGGGTGACAATAGTGAAACTCTATCTCAAAAAAAAAAGAATAAAAAGGATAAGCTATTGATTTACATTGCCATGATGAATTTTAACAGAAACACTTTAAAGATCTTAAAGCACACCAGAAATTTCCTTGTGGGAAAAATATGAGCTTTTTGTCTTGTAGCCATCTTATTTAGGAACCAAAAGGAGGAGGCAGGTTTGCATGACTGAGTTCCCAGCTTGACTTTTCCCTTTAGCTTAATGAGTTGCAGTCCCAATCTTTATTTTCCTTTCACACTTAGAAGACCAAATACAATGTGGATGTAAATAGTTGTGTTGTTTAGCAAGTAATGACAAGAAAAAGTCTGAATATGTTCACTACAGATGCAAGCGTCTGATTTTATTTCAAATATTTTGCATCCAAGTTTGTTTACATACACAGATATTAAACCTACAGATACAAAAAGCTGAGTGTACTTACAAATTAGTAGCTCTACACAGGCAGCATAAAATTCTCTTTGTACATGCCAAAAACATTCTGTGTCCACCCAGGGTGAACACAGCCTCTTCACAAACAGGGTGTAAATAAGGAGGTTCACTAAGTACAGGAAAGTTACATGACCATATTGGCATTTTAACAGCCATTCCTGAGAAAGAGAATGGGAAAGGGCTTAAGAGTCAGAGGAGAGGAAAAGAGAAAGACAGATGACCTCCTACATCAGAAGATGGAGGAGTGAGAATACAGAATAGGGAAGCAATAGTTAAAAGGAAAACAAGGAGAAACAGGATTTGATGTCAATTTGCTGTGCAGAGGGTAAAAAGGGGAGTTTTATTTCCAGGCTATCTGCCATGATTACAGCTAGTTTGTTACTGGTGATGTGAAATTTGGAAAAATAAAAGAACAATATGATGGCCAGAAGTGATACAGACTTGGACACGTCATGTTGGAAATATCTGAGGTCCCATATGTAGGGATGCCCAACTGGCAATTGGGAATACAGTTCCAGAGTTCACAAGATAGATCAAAGCTGGAGATAAAGATTTTCAAACTATCAGAATTTCAATGGTACCTGAATCCATCAGACCAAATGAACCTAAGAGAATGAAAGGATAAAAAGGAACAAGTACAGAATCCACAGAATCCCTAATATTTACAAAGAGAAATAAACTGTTAAGACCAAGAAGGACTTTTCTGAGTTTATTTCACAAATTAAGAAAAGCTCAATATTAGAAAGTCTACTAATACAATTCATCATATTCAGAGTCCTGAGGAGAAAAATCCTTTAATTGTCCACACAGGCATTAAGAAGAAAAGTCTTAGAAACAGATTCCAGGTTCTGATTTCTGCATGTAAGAAGCTTAGAAGTGGCCAGGTGCAGTGGCTCATGCCTGTAATCCCAGCACTTTGGGAGACCAAGGTGGGCAGATCACCTGAAGTCAGAAGTTCAAGACCAGCCTGGTCAACATGGCAAACCCCCATCTCTACTAAAAATAAAAAAAATTAGGCTGGGCGCAGAGGCTCACACCTGTAACCCCAGCACTTTGGGAGCTTGAGGTGGGTGGATCACCTGAAATCAGGAGTTTGAGACCAACCTGACCAACATGGCAAAACCAAACCTCTACTAAAAATACAAAAATTATCGAAGTTTGGTGGTGTTTGCCAGTAGTACCAGCTACTTGGGAGGCTGAGGCAGAATAATTGCTTAAACCTGGGAGGTGGAGGTTGCAGTAAGCCAAGATCAAGCCACTGTACTACAGCCTGGGTGACAGAGTGAGCTCTGCCTCAAAAAATTAAAAAATAAAATAATAATAATACAAAAATTAGCCAGCATGGTGGTAGGTGCCTGTAATCCCAGCTACTCAGGAGGCTGAGGCAGGGAGAATCACTTGAACCTGGGAGCCAGATGTTGCAGTGAACTGAGATTGCACGACTGCACTCCAGCCTGAGCAACAAGGTGAGACTCCATCTCAAAAAAAGGAAAAAAAAAAAGAATGGAAGTAATCAGTCCATCTTAACACATGAAAAGCTGAAAAGGTCAGGTGTGGTGGCTCATGCCTATCATCCCAGCACTTTGGGAGGCCAAAGCAGGAGGTTCCCTTGAGTCTAGGAGTTTGAGACCAGCCTGGGCAACATAGTGAGACCCCCAACTCTAAAATTTTTTTTTTTAATAAAACAAATAAAAGCTGAAGAGACTGAAAAATCTACAATCCTTTTTGGATTTGAAAGTGAAGAGAGGACATAGGGCAAGCCACTGCCCCCAAGATTGGAGACATAGAGAAGTGAATATAGGAATTTATGGCTTACAGGAACAGAGACTCACTACTGAAACCACCTTAGGAACCAGTGCTGGAGTAGAAAATCTTGAACAATAACTGGTGAATTGCTGAAGGTTCCATATGGACAACACAGGGAGGTAAAAACGCCAGGGATATCCAGGTATGAGGGAGCATAATATTGTAAAATTTACCTCCTGGAGCTTCACCAGGCTCCTGTGGCAAACACCTGAGAAAACTCGCTTCCTGCTTCCACCTTTGGGAAGGAAAAAGGAAAACCATCCTAAAATATGCCAGAGCACCCTGTTCTTAACAAGGCTTGTCCTCAGGAGAAATTACTGAACCTCAGCCTAACTTGCTCTCATATAATCAGATCCTAAATGACTTGCTGGAAGGGAAATAACGAACTCCAGCCTACTACACTCATCCCTAAAGGGGAAGATAAAAACAGAGAAACACATGTGAAGTTCATAGTCCAAAAGCAGAGACTCACTTAAACAATGAGGCCCAATCGTAAGACTCCAGAACACTTCTGCTATGGTCTGAATATTTGTTTCCTGCCCGACCCCCTGCAAAATGTGCCCGTTGAAACCAAGTCTCCAATGCACTAGAATTAAGGGGTGGGGCCTTTGAAATGTAATGGCAAAGCCATCCTGATTGGGATTAGTGCACTTATGAAAGAGGCCAAAGGAAGCTTCTTTGTCCATTCCAACATGAGAGGACATATAGCTGGCACCATCTATGAGGAATGAGTCACATCAAACACTGAATCTCTTGGAACCTTGACTTTGGACTTTCTAGCTTCCAAACTGAGCAACAAATTTCTGTTGTTTAGAAATTACTTGCTCTAAGTTATGCTGGTGGATGGACTAAGACAGCTTCCCCTCCCCTCTATAGCTTCTTATCATTACAGGATGCACTGTTACAGTAGTTCCTTTTACCTGGTATCTCATATCTAGGAGTAAAGAAAAAGCACAAGGCATACTAAAAGGCAAAAATCACAATTTGAAGTGACAGATCATCAGAACAAGACATAGCTATGATGCTGGAATTATCAGACAGGGATTTTTAAAAATATCTCTAAGTAGTATGCTAAGGGCTCTGATGAACAAAGGAGACAGCATTCAAGAACAGATAGGCAATGTAAGCAGGGAGACAGAAGTCCAAGGAAAGAACAAAAAAGAAACAGTAGAGATAAAAAAATAATGCAACAGACCTGTTGCCTTGATTGGCTTACTAGTAGGCTGAACACAACAAAGGAAAGAGTCTGTGAGCTCTGGAATTGTGAAAGAAACTTTAAAAACTGAAAACAATGGAACATAATATCCAAGAACAGTGGGACAGCTATAAAAGGTGTAACATAGAGTGACGAGAATACCAGAAGGAGGAGAGAGAAATAGAAGAAACATCAGCAACAATCATGTTTGACAACTTCCACTGTTAATGTCAGACACCAAATCAAAGATCCAGGAAGCTCAGAGCACTCCAGACAGTGTACATGCTAAAAACCTACACCTAGGCATATTATTCTCCAACTGTATAAAACATCAACTCCAAAAGAGACCAAAGGTGGAGTGGACAACATCTTACCTATAGAGAAACAAAGAAACAAAGGTAGAGAAACAAAGAAACAAAGGTAGAGAAACAAAGAAACCTGTAGACAAACAAACAAAAATCACATTCAGGCCAGGCTTTGTGGCTCATGCCTGTAATCCCAGTACTGTGGGAGGCCAAGTTGGGTGGATCACGAGGTCAGAAGATTGAGACCATCCTGGCTAACATGGTGAAACCCTATCTCCACAAAAAATACAAAAAATTAGCCAGGCGTGGTGGCAGGAGCCTGTAGTCCTAGCTACTCGGGAGACTGAGGCAGGAGAATGGTGTGAACCTGGGAGGCAGAACTTGCAGTGAGCCGAGATTACACCACTGCACTCCAGCCTGGGTGACAGAGTGAGACTCCGCCTCAAAAAAAAAATTACATTCAACATCTCAGAACCATGAAAGTAAAGAGAGTGGAATGAAATATTAAGCATGCTGAGAGAAAAAAAATCAAATTAGATTTCAGTGCCCTGTGAGATCTTCTTTCAAAAGTAAATGAGAAATAAAGCATTCCTTGGACAAACAAAAGTTGAGGAAACTTGTTACCAGGAAATGTGTTATGTGAGAATATGTTAAACATTATCTAGACAAAAAAAAGATACACATCTGAAAACTGAATCTACATTTCATTTATTTTTATTTATTTATTTTGAGACTGAGTCTCGCTCTGTTGCCCAGGCTGGAGTGCAGTGGCACAATCTCGGCTCACTGCAACCTCAGCCTCCCAGGTTCAAGCAATTCTCTGCCTCAGCCCCCCAAGTAGCTGGGATTACAGGAGCCCTCCACCACGCCTGGCTATTTTTTTTGTATTTTTATTGGAGACAGTGTTTCACCATCTCTGCTAGGCTGGTCTTGAACTCCTAACCTCGTGATCCACACATCTCGACCTCCCAAAGTGCTGGGATTACAGGTGTGAGCCACTACACCCGCCTGAATTTACATTTTAAAAAGAACATTAGAGAAGGAATAAGTGGTGGTAAAATCCCTTTTTTTTTTTTTTTTGAGATGGAGTCTCATTCTGTCACCCAGGCTGAAGTGCAGTAGTGTGATCTTGGCTCACTGCAAGCTCTGCCTTCTAGGTTCATGCTATTCTCCTGCCTCAGCCTCCCGAGTAGCTGGGACTACAGGCACCCACCACCACGCCTGGCTAATTTTGTTTTCGTGTTTTTAGTAAACACAGGATTTCACCATGTTAGCTAGGATGGTCTCAGTCTTCTGACCTTGTGATCTGCCCACCTCGGCCTCCCAAAGTGCTGGGATTACAGGCATAAGCCACCGTATCCGGCTGCTTACTTTTTATTCTTAATTCACCTAACATATAACAGTTTGTATATAATAACAATGTATGCAATTATATACTTTTTTTTCAGACGGAGTCTTGCTCTGTCGCCCAGGCTGGAGTGCAGTGGTGCAATCTCAGCTCACTGCAACCTCCACCTCCTCCCTGGTTCAAGCAATTCTCCTGTCTCAGCCTCCTGAATAGCTGGGACTACATGCGTGTGCCACCATGTCCAGCTAATTTTTGTATTTTTAGTAGAGATGGGGTTTCACTGTGTTAGCAAGGAGGGTCTCCATCTCCTGACCTCATGGTCCACCTGCCTCAGCCTCCCAAAGTGTTGGGATTACAGGCGTGAGCCAAGGTACCCAGCCAATTACATACTTTAATATATACAAGGCTATGTATGCTTACATATAAGTGAAACAAATAGCAACAATAACACAAGAGATGGGAATATGAGAGAAGCTGGTATTACATTTCTATTAGAAGGCCGTCAAAGTAACTGAACTAGTATAGTGTTATTTGAAGGTGGACTTGGATTTGTTGCAAGTCTATACTGCAAACTCCAGGGCAACTAGTAAAAACCAAAGTATAAAAATACCAAAAAGAGGAAACAGGCCAGGTATAGTGGCTTATGCCAAGGTAGAAAGATGGCTTGAGTCCAGGAGTTAGAGACTATCCTGAGCAACACAGTGAGACCCTGTCCCTACAGAAAAGGCCAGGTATTGTGGTGCATACTTGTAGTCCTAGCTAATTGCATACTTGTAGTCTTAGCTAATGACTTACTTGTAGTCCTACCTAATTGCATACTTGTAGTCCTAGTTAATTGCATACTTGTAGTCCTAGTTAATTGCATATTTGTAGTCCTAGTTAATTGCATACTTGTAGTCCTAGTTAATTGCATACTTGTAGTCCTAGCTAGTTGGGAGGCTGAGGTGGAAAGATCACTTAAACCCACGAGGTTGAGTCTGCAGGGAGCCATGACCACACGACTGCACTCCAGCCTGGGTGAATGCTGTCTCAATTTAAAAAAAAAAGTAATGAGGGGAAATAAAAATCATATAAAATCATAAACTCCATAAAAGGCAGAAAAAGAGTGGAGGACAAAGCAAGAACAAAGAACAATAGGAGTGAATGGAAAATGATATGGCAAAATTAACCCAACTGTATAATCACTTTGAATGTCATGGTCTAAATGCACCAATGAAAAGACAAGTTGTTAAAGCCCATCAAAATAAAGGCACACCTCACTTTATCGAGCTTCACTTTATTTTGCTTGGCAACATCACCTTTTTAACAAATTAAAGATTTGTGGCCACAAAGTGCTCAGCAAGTCTGACCAGCACCATTTTTCCAACACCGTGTGCTCACTTCACATCTGTGTCACATCTTTTGGCAATCCCCACAATCTTTCAAACATTTTAGTTATCACATCCGTTATGATGATCTGTGATCAGTGATTTCTGATGTTACTATTGGAATTGTCTCAGTGTGCTGGAACTCTATGGAAGACAGTAAACACGATGGAAAAGTGTTGTGTTTGACTGCTTCATTGGCTAGTCATTTCCCTATCTCCATTTCTCTCTTCCAGCCCCCCATTCCCCGAGATACAACAATGAAATTAGGCCACTTCACCCTGCAGTGGCCACCATGTGTTCAAGTGAAAAGAAGTGTGCACATCTGTCACTTCAAATTATCAAGCTTAGTGAAGAAAGCATGTTGGAAGCTAAGACAGGCCAAAGCTAAGCTTCTTGCATGAGCTACCCAAGTTGTGAATGCAAAGAAAAAGTTCTTGAAGGAAGTTATAGGTGCTACTCCAGTGAACACATGAATGATTTTTAAAAAACAAAACAGCCTTTTTACTGACACAGAGAAAGTCTGAGTGGTCTGCATAGAAGATCAAACCAGCCCCAACATTCCCCTGAGACAAAGCCTAATCCTGAGAAAGGCCCTAACTCTCTTCAATTCTATGGAGGAGAACAGAGGTGAGGAAGTTTCAGAAGAAATGTTTGAAGCTGGCAGAGGTTGGTACATGAACTTCTAGGAAAACAGCCATATCTGTGACATTAAAGTGCGAAGTGTGCTGTAAAAATGGGAACAAGAAAGCCTGCATGATAGCACTTCTGTTACAGCATTGTTAAGACCTTCTTGTTGGTAGGCCAGGAAGTAATGGTCACCATTTTTGTCCATATTCTCCTAGACTGAGCATGGAGAAATCTATAATAGTAGCCAGAGAGGTGTACATTGTGTGTTCAAGGGAAAAAAAAAGTGATTTTGAGGGAATGCATAGCCTGCCTCAGCTACATCAGATTTCTCTCCTATATGGGTTTGTTGATGCCTGCTGAGGTGTGACTTCTGGCAAAAGGTTTTCCCACATTCCTTACATTCATAAGGTTTTTCTCCTGTGTGTGTTCTCTGATGTATACTGAGGCCTGACTTCTGGGAGAAAATTTTCCTACATTCATTACATCTAAAGGGTTTTTCCTCTGTGTGAGTTCTGTGCTGTACAAAGGGTTTTGACTCCTGGGAGAAGGTTTTCTTACATTCAAATGTCTTCTCACCTGTGTGAATTCTCTGATGTATGGTGAGAACTGCCTTATGGTAAAAAGTTTTCCTACATTCATCACATTCACAGGGTTTCTCTCTTGAGTGAATTCCCTGATGCATATTGAGGTTTGACTTGTGACAAAAGGTTTTCACACACTCATTACATTCGTAAGGCTTTTCTCCAGTATGGGTTCTATGATGGACAGTGAGGACTGACTTCTGACTGAAGGTTTTTCCACATTCGCTACATTCATAGGGTTTCTCCCCTGTGTGAATATCTGGATGCTTCCGAAGATTTGCCTTCTGATGAAAGGATTTTCCACATTCATTACATTCATAGGGCTTTTCCCCAGTGTGTGTTCTCTGATGTATAATAAGGTATGATTTCTGACAAAAAGTTTTTCCACATTGGTTACATCCATACTGTTTCTCCCCTGTGTGAGTTCTCTGGTGTACGGTGAGGAATGACTTGCGATGAAAGGTTTTTCCACATTCATTTCATACGTAAGGTTTCTCCCCTGTGTGAGTTCCCTGATGTGTGCTGAGATTTGACTTCTGACGAACGGTTTTCCCACATTCATTACATTAATTGAGTCTTTCCCCTGTGTGAGTTCTCTTGTGTATCCCAAGGTTTAACTTATTGATAAAGGTTTTCTCACATTCATTACATTCATAGGGTTTTTTGCTAGCATGAGTTCTCTGATGTATAGTTAGAAATGACTTATAACTTACAGTAAAAGGATTTTCCACATTCATTACTTTCATAGGGTTTTTCCCCTGTGTGAGTTCTGTGAGGTACTGTAAGTTATGACTTGTGGCTATACGTTTTTCCACATTTGTTACATGCATATGTTTTTTCCCCAGTATGAGTTCTCTGATGGACAGTGAGGAATGACATATGGTGAAAGGTTTTCCCACGTTCGTTGCATTCGTAGGGTTTTTCGCCTTTGTGAGTCCTTTGATGGACAGTGAGGAACGACTTTTGGTGAAACGTTTTCCCACATTCATTGCATTCATAGGGTTTTTCTAATGTGAGTTCTCTGATGTATCCTGAGGTTTGACTTATTGATAAAGGGTTTTCTACACTCATTACATTCATAGGGCTTTTCCCCTGTGTGTGTTCTCTGATGGACAGTAAGCTTTGACTTATGGTTAAATGCTTTTTCACAATGGTCACATGCATAGGGCTTTTGCCAGGTGTGAGTTCTATGATGTATTGTGAGGTATGACTTCTGGCTAAAGGTTTTTCCACATTCACTACACTGATAGGGCTTTTCCCCTGAGTGAGTTCTGTGATGTAAAGTGAGAAGTGATTTACAGTGAAGTTTTTCCACATTCAATACATTTGTAGGGCTTATCCCCAGTGTGAGTTCTCTGATGTAAAGTGAGGAATGACTTACAGCGAACGGTTTTTCCACATTCATTGCATCCATAGGGCTTTTCCCCTGTGTGAATTCTCTGATGGATAGTGAGGCTGGACTTATAGCTGAACAATTTTTCACACCAGTTACAGGCATAAGGTTTTTCCTCAGTAGGCATCTTGTGCTGTATCATGAGGTCTGATTTGCTAATGGAGGGTTTCTCACATTCAACACATTCATGGGGTTTCTCTCCTGTGTGTGTTTGCTGATGTTTACTGAAGTCAGACTTTCTACAGCAAGTTGGCTGTCTTACCTGAGTTATCCCTTGGACAATAATAGCTGAGTTATTACAGGCTTTCTCATATTCATTATATTTACCAAAGGTCTGTCCTATATGAACCCTCTTATGTATAAAGAACATTGCCTCCATGTTGAAGGTTTTCCCTTGTTCATTACATTGAAAAGGCTGCAGCAGAGTTTGAATCTTGTGATGCTGAGTAAGATGTTCATGATGTCTGTGGGATCTCCTGGTTATATCAGGGATATGAGGTTTCTCTCTAGACTGTGTCTCACCAGGCTTAATAGGTAAAAGCACGTTCTGGCAAACATTAAACTGCCCAGGCTTCACTCCTGAACTGTTTCCATTATTTATAATCAGATTTAAAACATGGTTTGAGTTAAAATTAAATCTTTTTCCTAATTCAACTCTCTCCTGAGTTGATGTCTTGCTGTTGGTGATTACAATTTGCCAGAAAAATCTATCATGACTTTCATGGCTCCTTTCAATAAGGTCATCAGTGATCTGGACAGCTGAAATGAGAAAAACGTATCCATGAACCACACAGGAGCATGTCTTACAGAATGCTTGTGTAAAGGTGAAAAAAATTACTTTCTATCCCAGTGGAGTAAGATTTGATAAAAATTAATAATGGGTATTGGTTTTATATGCATATGGTTCCTGTTCCTTCTGACATCATGTAATAAATCAGTATATTTTCTAATGTTCAATTGAGTTTTTCTTTGCATTTTGAAGTTTTCCTTTTCTTTTTTATTTCACAAAGAATTATTTGGTAATAATATGCATCTACTTCCTACTCATAGGTTTTAATAAGTGCTCATTATCTGTCATTTGTTTTCTCTCTTTTTTTCTATTTATTCATATAACAATAGTGGCTGTTTTAATAGTTGCTATTTTTTCATCATTCTTCTTTGAAGATAGCCAGTTTTTCTTGGGTCAGCAACTGGCAGGTACAGGAGATGGCCATTTTTCTGTCTCCTAAGCATGGAAGTAGCTTGTAGACAGGATTTTGCCTATATGTTAACTTTTCACTCCTCCCTGAGAATGGTTAAATGTGTCTGGAGGTTTTCCAAGCAGAAAATATCTTATTCCCCATGTTAAACAAAAACAGATCCTGGCAAATTCCTACTTAAACATGGCATCTCCTGCTTCCCAGAACCATAATAGGCAAAGAAGCTCCAGTCAAAAAACCACACTAGTGATCTGAAGGATTGGTTCTGCAACTCAGGCTGTGCCCGTCATCTTTGAAAAGTGTATTTCTGGTTCCTTCTGAGATCAACAGCTCTGTCCCTCTCCACTCACACACCCCTGCTTGATAATTCACCATTTTTGAAGGGTTTTATTTTGTGTTTTGGAGTTTCAGATGTCACACAGCTATATATAAAAATGAAGTTTCCTGTACATTTCTCATCTTCAAATGGTAACTACAAACTCCACTCTCAAACAGAAATCTGAGCCCTTCAACAGGAAATCATTGGTTTCTTTGGACTTGAGACCCAGAATCTTCTGGTTCTCCTCCCAAGTCCAGCACCACCCCTATCCAAGCCCCATGATGGGTTCTCCTCAGCTTCATAATTTCTTTCTGAGACAGGATCTTACTCTGTTACCCAGGCTGGAGTGCAGTGTTGCTATCATAGGTCACTGAAGCTTCAAGCTCCTGAGCTCAAGCAATCCTTCCACCTCAGCCTCCCAAGTATAAAAACTGGGATTAAAAACCCATGTCACCATACTCAGCTACTATTTTGTGTGTGTGTGTGTAGGTGGGAGTCTACAAGGATCAATTAAGGCCAGAAGTTCGAGACCAGTCTGGGCAATAGAACAAGACCTCATCTCCACAAACAATAAAAAATTAGCCAGGTGTGGTGGCACACACCTGTAGTCCTAGCTACTTGGGAGGCTAGGCTGTGAGGAACACTTGATCCCAGGAGTTCATCGTTACAGTCAACTATAATCATGCCACTGCACTTGAGTCTGAGAAACAGAGTGAGAACCATCTGTTTAATAAAAAATAAAACAAGAAGAATAAAGCTACAGCTTAAAAAAGAAACACTATTTTCATCATCATTGTTATAATGACTGATTCTCAAAAATTGCTTAAGATACATTCAAAGGATAAATAAATGCATAAATGTCTAAAAAATTTTTTTAAGACACTACATCAGAATAGAGGAAAAGGGGGAAATAGAGAAAATAAATAGCAAAGAAAAAGGCTTAAAGAGAGGATGGCAGGGATTGGATTTGGGGTAAATAGAAGAAGATACTCAGAAAAATAAGAGACTGGGATATATGCATGACAGTTACCCCTGGGGACTATATAATGGACATTTAATGCAGACTAACAGTCTTCAGGTCGAAGACCTAGGGAAAAAAGTGGTGAAAACAAGATAACACTACCAAAATCTGCTGGGCATTACTCCTCCAGGCCTCCCAACCCTGTATTCACTGACTGACCTGAAAGTCTCAGGTTTGGTATTTCTTCTACTATCCATGTCTCTGCTCCTTGCTCTAGCTTGAAGATCATCTCAGGTTTGGTAATGCAATGCCCTGGTAACGAGAAACAATGGAATACTTTGTCAAACCACTAAGTCAAATCCTTTTCAGAATGACAAGAGCTGGGCTTCAGGGACTGTGTAATGAAGGAGCCAATTTGAACATTTCATTAGAATAATGACACATTTTTCATCAACCAGAATCTTACAAGTAAATATTATTATACCTTAAAAGGGTTTCTATATTTACCAACAACAATACACATTCCTGGGAGTTACTGGGAAGTTTCACTCACCCAATGATACCAGGCTGCTGTAGGTCTCCACAATCACGTCCCTGTAGAGGGTCCTCTGAGCATCATCCAGGCCCTGACACTCCTCCCAGGTGAAGTGCAGAGCCACATCTTCAAAGGACACCAACCCCTGTAATGGCACATATTTCCTCAAGTCAAAGCATCAGCCCAGGGTCAAAAGAACAAGAATCTGGGAATTCACTCTTTTGTGTGTCCATGTGTCTTATATGTATTTTATATAAGACGTAGTTTGTTTTGTACTGTTTATGGTGGGAGAAGGAGTAATCACAGTAGAAATATGCTTCCACTGTAATAACTTATGAATTAATAAAATTATATTACAAAGTTCACCTTATAGATCTAGAACCACCCTTGTTGCTAGGGATAAAAGTATAAACAAAATGCAAGACCCTCTCTCTTCAAAAATAATAAAAAAATATAGGCATAATGCTGGATGCCTGTAGTCCTGGCTACTCTGGAAGCTGAGGCTGAAGGATTGCTCAAACCCAGGAGTTTGACAGTGCAGTGAGTGATGATCACACCACTGCACTCCAGCCTGGCCAACAGAGAGCCTATCTCTCAAAAAAAAAGAGGAATAAAATTCTACTCCTCAAAGGAGCTCATGATCTGGTTATGAACATATAAGTATAAACACATACTGGGAATAATGTTTAGGTGAACTCATTGAGACACAAGTTCAATGCAGACTAAGATAAGAGAGAAGGAGAAAATAAATTTTGTTTATTTTGAATCAAGAGATTCCACTTTACTGAAAAATCAGGTGATTGGCTCTTCCACATGAACCATGAATTCTCATGACTATGAGAAAATATCAGAAGTCTACTGACAAAGGCAAAGCGAACACACACCACTTTAATGGAACTCTGGACAGCACCATGCCTAGATGAATGATCCTGGGCAGTGATGAAAGCTAAATGCAATATTTAAGGAATTGATTATGCAATGATTCTGCATTTAAATATTTGACTTAATTTCAAAAATTTTTATGCACCTATCATTTTTACATTACATTACTTCCTCAGTATCCATGGGGACTGATTCCAAGATACCCCCAGATACCAAAATCCACAGATTGGATAACTCTGTTATATAAACAAGTCTCATATTTACATATAACTTATGCACATACTCCTGTATACAGTCATGAGCTGCATAATAACATTTCAGTCAATGATGAAACATGTCTATCACAGTAGTCCCATAAGATGATGATGAAACATACACGGAAACCTGATATTGGCATTGCAGATGAAGTGCAGAAAATGATATTCAATAATGGCTCTGAGCCATCTGGTTACCCATATACCAAAAACATATAAATAAAAATATACATACCATGTAGGTTTTTGTAACACTATGATGTTCACAAAACAATGAAATTACCTAAGGTTGCATTTCTCAGAAAGTAATCCCATCAGTAAGCCATGCACGACTGAACTTAAAATCTTTAGATTACATATAATACTGAAGACAATATAATGCTACATAAATAGCTGTTATACTGTACTGTTTAGGAAATAATGACAAGAAAAATTTCTGTAGATGCTCTGCACAGAGACAACCATCTATTTTTGTGGGAATATTTTCAATCTGAAGTTGGCTGAATCTGCAGATGCAAAACCCATGGAAACAAAAGGGTGAGTATACTTAATTAAAATCATATACACTGGCATTTCAAAATTTCCTTTCTACGGGACAAAAAATTGCTGTATCCACCCAGTGTGAACACAGCCACTTCAAAAACAGGTGTAAATAAGGAGGCCCAGTAAGGACAGAAAAGTTACATGACCATATTGGCATTTTAACAGCCATCCCTGAGAAAGAGAATGGGAAAGGGCTTAAGGGAAAGCCAGAAGGGAGTAAAGAAGAAGACAGATGACCACCTACATCAGTACATCAGGACACGGAGTGTAAGTATACACAATAGGGAAGCAGTTCTTAAAAGGAAAAAAATGTAGAAACAGGATTTGGTACCAATTTACTGTGCAGTGGGTAAAAACGGGAGTTTTGTTTCCAAGTTATCTGCCCTGATCCAGCTAGTTTGGTACTGGTGCTGTGAAGTGAAATTTGCAAAAAAAATAAAAGAATGTGATAACCAGAAGTGACACAGACCTGGACATATCATGTGTGAAACATCTGACGTTCCATATGTGGGAATGTTCAACTGGCAATTGGGAATATAGCTCCAGTGGTTCAGAAGAGAGATCAAACTAAAGATAAAGATTTGGAAATTACCAGAATTTCAATGCTACCTGAATCCATCAGACCAAATGAAAATAAGAGAAGGAAAGAATAAAAGAAACAAGTACAGAATCTACAGAAACACTAACATTTACACTGGAAGAGAAATAGACTGTGAAGACCAAGAAGGAACTTTCTGAGTTTATTCCACGAATAAAGAAAAGTTCAATATTTAGAAGTCTAATATAATTCATCTTGATCATATTCCTGTGGAAAAAAATCATTTAACTGTGCACATAGGCATTGAGAAGATAGTTTTAGAAACATATTCCAGGTTCCTATTTCTGCATGTAAGAAGCTTGGAAGTAATCAATAATTACTTTACAATAATTAATTTTTATAACAAGCTTAACAACAAATTAATATGACACAATTAATCTTAACAAATAAAAAGCTGAAGAGACTAAAAAATCAACAATTCTTTCTAGATTTCAAACTTAGGGGAGGACACAGGGCAAACCACTGCCCCTAGGATTGCAGAGACAAAGAAGTGAATATAGTACTTAATGGCTTAAAGGAACATGGACTCACTACTGAAACCAACCTTGGAACCAGTGCTGGAGTAGAAAATCTCAAACCGTAACTGGTGAACGGCTGGAGGATCTGCGTGGACAACTCTAAGTGGTAAAAACTACAAGAGATAGAGTTACTGTTGGGGAGGGGGAACAATACTGTAAAATTGTCTCATGGAGCTTCACCAGGCTCCTGTGACAAATACCTGAGGAAACTCCACTCCTGCTTCAATCTTTCAGAAGGAAAAAGGAAAACCAGTTTGAAATATGCCAGAGCACCAAGTTCTTAACAAGGCTTGTCCACAGGAGAAACTACTTAACTTCAGCCTAATCTGCTCTAGTATAATCAGAGACTAAATAACATAGGGGAAGGAAATTACCCCTTCCACTGTAGCCCATTCTAGTCATGTTCCACCTAAGGTGGAAAATTAATTAAACAGAGGAACACTTCTGAGGTTCACAGTATAAACCCAATCATAGCATTCCAGAACACGGCTGCTGGGGCCTGCGTGTTTGTCCCTCACATATGGTACCAAAACGCTGCTCCTGAGGTCTGAATGTTTCTCCCTTACATAAGATTCCAGAACACTGCTATGAAGGTCTGAATGTTTGTCCCTTATAAAGGATTCCATAACATTGATGCTGGGGTCTGAATGTTTATCCTTAACCTAGGATTTCAGAACACTGCTCCTGGGGTCTGAATGTTTATCCTTAACCTAGGATTTCAGAACACTGCTCCTGGGGTCTGAATGTTTGTCCCTCACACAGGATTCCAGAACACTGATGCTGGGGTCTGAATGTCTGTCCCTCACGTAGAATACCAGAACACTGATAAGAGGGTCAGAATGTTTGTCCCTCACATAAGATTCCATAACACTGCTGCTGGGGTCTGAAAGTTTGTCCCTCACATAGGATTCCAGATCACTGCTATGAGGTTCTGAATATTTGTCCGTTACATAGGACTCCAGAACACTGCTGTCGTGGTCTGAATGTTTGTCCCTCACATAGGATTCCAGAACACTGCTGCTGGGGTCTGAATGTTTGTCCCTCACATAGATCTCCAGAACACTGCTGCGAGGGTCTGAATGTTTCTCCCTCACATAGGATTCCAGAACATTGTTGTGAGGGTCTAAAAGTCTGTCCCTCACATAGGATTCCAGAACACTGCTACGAGATTATGAATGTTTGTCCGTTACATAGGATTCTAGAACACTGCTGCCATGGTCTGAATGTTTGTCCCTCACATAGGATTCCAGAACACTGCTGCTGGGGTCTGAATGTTTGCCCTCACATAAGATTCCAGAACACTGCTCCCGGGGTCTGAGTGTTAGTCCCTCACATAGGATTGCAGAACACTAATGCAATGATCTGAATGTTTCTCCCTCACGTAGGATTTCAGAACACTGCTGCTGGGGTCTGAATGTTTGTCCCTCACATAGCATTTCAAAACACTGCTGCTGGGTTATGAATGTTTTTCCCTCACTTAGAATTCCAGAACACTAACGCAATGATCTGGATGATTGTCCCTCACATAGGATTCCAGAACACTGCTGCTGGGGTCTGAATGTTTGTCCCTCACATAAGATTCCAGAACACTGCTATGAGGGTCTGATTATTTGTCCCTCACATAGGATTCCAGAACCCTCCTGATGTGGTCTGAATGCGTGTCCCTCACATAAGACTCCAGAACACTGCTATGAGGGTCTGAATGTCCGTCATATAGGACTCCAGAACATGGCTGCTGTGTTCTGAAAGTTTTTCCCTCACATAGGATTCCAGAACACTGATTCCAGGGTCTGAATGCTTGTACCTCACATAGGATTCCAGAACACTGCTGCTGGGGTCTGGGTGTTTGTCCCACACATAGGATTCCAGAACACTGCTGGGAATGTCTGAATGTTTGTCCATCACATGGGATCCCAGAACACTGCTACTGGCTTCTGAATGTTTGTCCCCCACACAGGATTCCAGAACACTGCTGCTGTGGTCTTTTTTTTTCTTTTACTTTTTGTCTATTTAAAATTACTTTATTAATATTTATTTTTAATTAATATTTTTAATAAGACATTGCAAGTTTTTTGTAATGTAAAATGTGAGGGACAAACATTCAGACCAATGCAGTAGCGTTCTGGAATCCTATGTGAAGGACAAAGTATGCATACATTGTGAAAAGGTCAAATCTAGCTATTTAACAAATACATCAACTCACATAGTTATCATTTTTGTGATGAATACACATAATATTAACTTTCTATTTCTCAAGAATACAATGTGTCATCATCAATTACAATCACCTTGCTCTACAATACATCTCCTGAAATGTATTCCTTCTGTGTAACTCTAAGTATGTATCCTCTGATTAACATCACCGCAACTCCCCTTTACCCCTAGCTCTGATACCCACCAGTGTACTTTGTAATTCTATGAGATCAACTTTTTAACATACCAGTAGAAGTCATGTCATGATATATTTGTCTTTTTGTGTCTGCCCTATTTCACTTAACATATTGCCCTCCAGGTTCATCCATGTTGTTTACAAACGACAGGGTTTTCTTTATTTACTGCCAAATAGTATACCACATTTTCTTTCTTTTTTTAATTATATTTTCCGTATTGAATTATTTATATATATATATATTTATTATACTTTAAGTTCTCGGATACATGTGCACAACGTGCAGGTTTGTTATGTTTGCATACATGTGCCATGTTGGTGTGCTGCACCCAGTAACTCGTCATTTACCTTAGGTATATCTCCTAATGCTATCCCCCCTCCCCCTACCCCACAACAGGCCATGGTGTGTGATGTTCCCCTTCCTGTGTCTATGTGTTCTCATTGTTCAATTCCCGCCTATGAGTGAGAACATGTGGTGTTTGTTTTTTTGTCCTTGTGATAGTTTGCTGAGAATGATGATTTCCAGCTTCATCAATGTCCCTACAAAGGACATGAACTCATCATTTTTTAAGGCTGCATAGTATTCCCTGGCATATATGTGCCACATTTTCTTAATCCAGTCTATCATTGTTGGACATTTGGATATTACAGTTGGTTCCAAGTCTTTGCTATTGTGAGTAACGTCACAATAAACATACGTGTGCATGTGTCTTTATAGCAGCATGACTTATATTCTGTTGGGTATATGTCCAGTAATTGGACGGCTGGGTCAAACGGTATTTCTAGCTCTAGATCCCTGAGGAAACACCACACTGTCTTCCACAATCGTTGAACTACTTTACAGTCCCACCAACAGTGTAAAAGTGTTCCTATTTCTCCACATCCTTTCTAGCACATGTTGTTTTCTGACTTTTAAATGATCGCCATTCTAACTAGTGTGAGATGATATCTCATTGTGATTTTGATTTGCATTTCTCTGATGGCGAGTGATGATGATCATTTTTTCATGTGTCTGTTGGCTGCATAAATGTCTTCTTTTGAGAAGTGTCCGCTCATATCCTTCGCCCACTTGTTGATGGGGTTTTTTCTTGTAAATTTGTTTGAGTTCTTTGTAGATTCTGGATATTAGCCCTTTGTCAGATGAGTAGATTGCAAAAATTTTCTCCCATTCTGTAGGTTGCCTGTTCACTGGTATGCCTTTTGCTGCACAGAAGCTCTTTAGTTTAATTAGATCTCATTTGTCAATTTTGGCTTTTGTTGCCATTGCTTTTGTTGTTTAAGACATGAAGTCCTTGCCCATGCTTATGTCCTGAATGGTATTGCCTAGGTTTTCTTCTCGGGTTTTCATGGTTTTAGGTCTAACATTTAAGTCTTTAATCCATCTTGAATTAATTTTTGTATAAGGTGTAAGGAAGGGATCCAGTTTCAGCTTTCTACATATGTCTAGCCAGTTTTCCCAGCACCATTTGTTAAATAGGGAATCCTTTCCCAATTTCTTTTGTCAGGTTTGTCAAAGATCAGATAGTTGTAGATGTGTGGTATTATTTCTGAGGGCTCTGTTCTGTTCCATTGCTCTATATCTCTGTTTTGGTACCAGTACCTTGCTGCTTTGGTTACTGTAGTCTTGTAGTATAGTTTGAAGTCAGGTAGCGTGATGCCTCCAGCTTTGTTCTTTTAGCTTAGGATTGACTTGGCCATGTGGGCTCTTTTTTGGTTCCATATGAACTTTAAAGTGGTTTTTTTCAATTCTGTGAAGAAAATCATTGTTAGCTTCATGGGGATGGTATTGAATCTATAAATTACCTTGGGCAGTATGGACATTTTCACGATATTGATTCTTCCTATCCATAAGCATGGAATGCTCTTCCATTGGTTTGTGTCCTCTTTTATTTTGTTGAGCAGTGTTTTGTAGTTCTCCTTGAAGAGCTCCTTCACGTCCCTTGTAAGTTGGATTCCTAGGTAATTTATTCTCTTTGAAGCAACTGTGAATGGGAGTTCATTCATGATTTGGCTCTCAGTTTGCCTGTTATTGCTGTATAAGAATGCTTGTGATTTTTGCACATTGATTTTGTATCCTGAGACCTCACTGAAGTTGCTTACCAGCTTAAGGAGATTTTGGGCTGAGATGATGGTGTTTTCTAGATATACAAACATGTCATCTGCAAACAGGGACAATTTGACTTCCAAGAAATGACTAAGATCAGAGCACAACTGAAGGAGATAGAGACAAAAAACCCTTCAAAGAATCAATGAATCCAGGAGCTGGTTTTTTGAAAAGATCAACAAAATTGATAGACCACTAGCAAGACTAATAAAGAAGAAAAGAGAGAAGAATCAAATAGACACATTAAAAAATGATAAAGGGGATAGCACCACCAATCCCACAGAAATGCAAACTACCATCAGAGAATACCGTAAACACCTCTATGCAAATAAACTAGAAAATCTAGAAGAAATGGATAAATTCCTCAATACATAAACCCTCCCAAGACTAAACCAGGAAGAAGTTGAATCTCTTAATAGACCAATAACAGGCTCTGAAATTGAGGCAATAATAGCATACCAACCATAAAAAGTCCAGGACAAGAGGGAATCACAGCCTAATTCTACCAGAGGTACAAGGAGGAGAAGTTGCCATTCCTTCTGAAACTCTTCCAATCAAGAGAAAAAGAGGGAATCCTCCCTAACTCATTTTATGAGGCCAGCATCATCCTGATACCAAAGCCTGGATAAGACATAACCAAAAAAGAATTTAAGACCAATATCCCTGATGAACATTGATGCAAAAATCCTCAATAAAGTACTGGCAAACTGAATCCAGCAGCACATCAAAAAGCTTATCCACCATGATCAAGATGGCTTCATCCCTGGGATGCAAAGCTGGTTCAATATATGCAAATCAATAAACGTAATCCAGCATGCAAACAGAACCAAAGACAAAAACCACATGATTATCTCAACACAGGCAGAAAAGGCCTTTGACAAAATTCAACAGCCCTTCATGCTAAAAACTCTCAATGAATTAGGTATTGATGGGATGTATGTAAAAATAATAAGAGCTATTCATGACAAACACTCAGACATTATCATACTGAATGGGCAAAAACTGGAAGCATTGCCTTTGAAAACAGGCACAAGATAGGGATGCCCTTTCCCATCACTCCTATTCAACGTAGTGTTGGAAGTTCTGGCCAGGGCTATGAGGCAGGAGAAAGAAATAAAGGGTATTCAATTAGGAAAAGAGGAGGTCAAATTATCCCTGTTTGCAGGGGTCTGTTTGCCCTCACATAAGATTCCAGAACACTGCTGCTGTGGTCTGCTTGTGCCTCACATAGCATTCCAGAACACTGCTGCTATGGTCTGAGTGATTGTCCCTGACATAGGATTCCAAAACACTGCTACGAGGGTCTGAATGGTTTGTCCCCCACATAGCATTCCAGAACACCGTGGCGAGGGTGTGAATGTTTCCCCCTCACATAGGATTACAGAACACTCCTGCTGTGGTCTGAATGTTTGTCCCTCACATAGGATTCCAGAACACTGCAGATGGGATCTGAATGTTTGTCCCTTACGTAGGATTCCTGAACACTCCTGCTGTGGTCAGAGTGTTTGTCCCTCACATAGGATTCCAGAACACTCCTGCTGTGGTCTGAATGTTTGTTCCTCATTTAAGATTCCAGAACACTGATGCTGTGGTCTGAACATTTCTCCTTCACATAGGATTCCAGAACACAATTGCTGGGGTCTGAAAGTTTGTCCCTCACATAGGATTCCAGAATACTGCTAGGAGGGTTTGAATGTTTCTCCCTCACATAGGATTCCAGGCCACTCCTGCTGTGGTCTGAATGTTTTTCCCTCACATAGGATTACAGAACACTGCTAGTGTGGTCTAAATGTTTGACCCTCACATAGGAGTCCAGAACACTGCTGCTGGGTTGCAAGTGTCTCTCTCTCACATAGAATTCAGGAACACTGCTAAGAGGGTCTGATTGTTTGTCCCTCACATAGGATTCTGGAACACTGCTGCTGGGTTCTTAGTGTTTGCCCACACATAGGATTCCAGAACACTGCTGCTGTGGACTGAATGTTTGTTCCTCACAAAGGATTAAAGAACACTCCTGCAGTGGTCTGAATGTTTACCACTCACGTAGGATTCCAGAACACTACTGCAGGGTTCTGAGTGTTTGTCCCTCACATAGGACTCCACAAAACTGCTGCTGTGGTCTGAATATTTGTTCCTCACATAGGATTCCAGAACACTGCTACGAGGGTCTGAATATCTGTCCCTCAAATAGGATTCCAGAACATTCTTGCTGTGGTCTGAATGTTAGTCCCTCACATAGGATTCCAAAACACTGCTGCTGGGTTTTATTTCCCCTCACTTAGGATTCCAGAACACTGCTACGAGGGTCTGAATGATTGTCCCTCACTAGGACTCCAGAACACTGCTGCTGGAATCTGAATGTTTGTCCCTCACATAGGATTCCAGAATAATCGTGCTGTGGTCTGAATGTTTGCGCCTCACATAGTATTCCAGAACACTCCTGCTGTGGACTGAATATTTATCCCTCACTTTGGATTCCAGAACACTGCTTTTGGGTTCTGAGTGTTTGTCCCTCACGTACGATTCCAGAACACTGCTACATGGCTCTAAATGTTTGTCCCTCATGCAGAAATCCAGAACACTGCTGCTGGGTCTGAATAGTTGTCTATCACACAGGATTCCAGAACTCTGCTACGAGGGTCTGAATGTTTGTACCTCACATAGGTTTTCAGAACACTCCTGCTGTGGTCTGATTGTTTGTCCCTCACAAAGGATTCCAGAACATTCCTGCTGTGGTCTGAATGATTGTTCCTCACAGAGGATTCCAAAACACTCCTGCTATGGTCTGAATGTTTGTCCAGCACATAGGAATCCAGAACACTCCTACTATGGTGTGAAAGTTTGTTCCTTACATAAGATTCCAGAACACTGCTGCTGTGGTCTGAATCTCACAAAGGATTCCAGGACACACCTCCTGTGATATCAATGTTTGTCCCTCACACAGGATTCCACAACACTGCTGGGGGTTTCTGAGCGTTTGTCCCTCACATAGGATTCCCAAACACTGCTACAAGGGTCAGAATGTTTGTCCCTCACAGAGGATTCCAGAACACTACTGCTGGGTTCTGAGTGTTTGTCCCTCACATAGGACTCCACAACTCTGCTGCTGTGTTCTGAAGGTTTGTTCCTCACATAGGATTCCAGAACAGTGCTATGAGGGTCTGAATATTTGTCCCTCATATAGGATTAAAGAACACTTCTCCTGTGGTATGAATGTTTGTCCTCCACATAGGATTCCAGAACACTGCTGCTAGGTTCTGAGTGTCTGTCCCTCACACAGGATTCCAGAACACTGCTAGGAGGGTCTGAATGTTTGCCCCTCTCATAGGATATCAGAACACTCCTGCTGTGGCCTGATTGTTTCTCCCTCACAAAGGACTCCAGAACACTCCTGCTGTGGTCTGAATGTTTGTCCATCACACAAGATTCCAGAACACTGCTGCTACGTTCTCAGTGTCTGTCCCTCACATAGGATTCCAGAACACTGCTTCTGGGGTCTGAATGTTTGTCCCTCACATAGGATTACAGAACACTGCTTCTGGGGTCTGAATATTTGTCCCTCACATAGGATTACAGAACACTGCTATGAGGGTCTGAATGTTCGTCTTACACAAAGGATTCCAGAACACTCCTGCTGTGGTCTGAATGTTTGTCCCTCACATAAAATTCCAGAACACTCCTGCTGTGGTCTGAATGTTTGTCCCTCACATAGGATTACACAATACTCCTGCTGTGGTCTGAATGTTTGCCCCTCACATAGGATTCCAGAACACTGCTGCTGGGATCTCAGTGTTTGTCCCTCACATAGGATTCCAGAACATGGCTACGATGCTCTGAATGTTTGTCCCTCACATAGGATTTCAGAACACTGCTGTTGGGATCTGAATGTTTGTCCCTCACATAGGATTCCAGAACACTACTGCTGGGGTCTGAATATTTGTCCCTCACATTGGATTCCAGAACACTGCTGCTGGGATCTCAGTGTTTGTCCCTCACATAGGATTCCAGAACACGTGTACGATGCTATGAATGTTTGTCCCTCACATGAGATCCCAGAACACTGCTGCTGGGGTCTGAATGTTTGTCCCTCACATAGAAATCCAGAACGCTGATGCTGGGGTCTGAATGTTTTTCCCTTACGTAGGATTCTGGAACACTGCTACGTGGGTCTGAATGTTTGTCCATCACATAGGATTCCAGAAAACAGCTATGAGTGTCTGAATGCTTCTCCCTTACATAGGATCCCAGAACACTCCAGCTGTGGTGTGAATGTTTGTCCCTCACATAACATTCAAGAACACTGCTGCTGGGGTCTGAATGTTTGTCCCTCACAAAGGATTCCAGAAAAATGCTGCTGGCATCTGAATGTTTGTCCTTTACATCGGATTCCAGAACACTGCTGCTGGGTTCTGAGTATTTGTCTCTCACATAGGACTCCAGAACACTCCTGCTGTGGTCTAAAAGTTTGTCACTCACATAGGATTCCAGAAAACTGCTGCTGGGTTCTCAGTGTTTGTCCCTTACATAGAATTCTGGAACATTGCTAAGAGGGTCTGAATGTTTGTCCTTCACATAGGTGTCCAGAACACTGCTGCTGGGGTGTGAAGGTTTGTCCCTCACACAGGATTCCAGAACACTGCTACGAGGGTCTGAATATTTGTCCATCAAATAGGATTGGAGAACACTCCTGCTGTGGTCTGAATGTTTGTCCTCACACAGGTTTCCAGAACACTCCTGCTGTGGTCTGAATGTTTGACCCTCACATAGGATTCCAGAACACTGCTGCTAGGTTGTCTGTCCCTCATATGGGATTCTATAACACTGTTATGAGGGTCTGAATGTTTGTCCCTCACACAGGATTCCTGAACACTCCTACTGTGGTCTGAATGCTTGTTCCTCACACACAGTTCCACCACACTCCTGCTGTTGTCTGAATGTTTCTCCCTCACATAGGATTCCAGAACACTGCTGCTGGGTTCTGAGTGTTTGTCCCTCACATAGGATTCCAGAACACTGCTACGAGGGTCCGAATATTTGATCCTGAAATAAGATTCTAGAAAACTGCTGCTCGAGTCTGAGTGTTTGTCCTTCACATAGGATTCCAGAACACTGTTACGAGGGTCTGAATGTTTGACCCTCACATAGGACTCCAGAACACTCCTGCTGTGTTCTGAATGTCTGTCGCTCGCATAGGATTCCAGAACACTGCTACAAGGGTCTGAATGTTTCTCCTTCACAAGGGATTCCAGAACATTCCTGCTGTTGTGTGAATGTCTGTCCCTCACATAGGATTCCAGAACACTGCTGCTGTGTTCTGAATGTTTGTCCCTCACATAGCATTCAAGAACACTGTTGCTGGGTTCTGAATGTTTGTCCCTCACATAGCATTCAAAAACACTGCTGCTGGGGTCTGAATGTGCCTCACATAAAATTCCAGAACACTGTTAGGAGGGTCTGAATGTTTGACCCTCACATAGGACTCCAGAACACTCCTGCTGTGGTCTGAATGTTGGTCCCTCACATAGGACTCCAGAACACTCCTGCTACGGTCTGAATGTTGGTCCCTCACATAGGACTCCAGAACACTCCTGCTATGGTCTGAATGTTGGTCCCTCACATAGGATTCCAGAACACTCCTGCTATGGTCTGAATGTTGGTCCCTCACATAGGACTCCAGAACACTCCTGCTGTGGAGTGAATATTTGTCCCTCCCATAGGATCCCAGAACAATGCTCCTGGATTCTGAGTTTTATTCCCTCACAGAGGATTCCAGAACACCACTATGAGGGTATCAATGTTTTTCCCTCACAGAGGATTCCAGAAAACTGCTGCTGGGGTCTGAATGTTTGTCCCTCACATAGGAGTCCAGAACATTGTTATGAGGGTCTGAATCTTTGTCCCTGACATAGGATTCCAGAACACTCCTACTGTGGCCTGAATGTTTGTTCCTCACATAGGATTCCAGAACACCCCTGCTGTTGTCTGAATGTTTCACACTCACATAGGACTCCAGAACACTCCTGCTTTGGTTTCAAAGTTTGTCCCTCACATAGGATTTCATAACTCTCCTGCAGTGTTCTGAAAATTTGTCCCTCACATAAGATTCCAGAACACTCCTGCTGTGTTCTGAATATTTGTCCCTCACATAAGTCTCCATAACACTCCTGCTGTGGTTAGGATGTTTGTCCCTCAGATAGCATTCAGGAACACTGCTGCTGGAGTCTGAATGTTTGTCTCTAACATACAATTCCACAGCACTACTGCTCTGGTCTGAAGGTTTGTCCTTCACATATGAGTTCAGAACAGTGGTGCTGGATTCTGAGGGTTTGTCATTCACATAGGATTCCAGAACACAGCAAAGAGGGTCTGAATATTTGTCCCTCACTTAGGATTCCAGAATGCTGCTGCTGGGTTCTGAGTGTTTGTCCCACACATAGGATTCCAGAACACTGCTACAAGGGTCTGAATGTTTGTCCATTAAATGATATTCCAGAGAACTGCTGCTGGGGTCTCAATGTTTGTCCCTCAGACTGCATTCCAGAACACTCCTGCTGTGGTCTGAATATTTACCCCTCAAATAGGATTCCATAACACTGCTGCTGTGGTCTGACTGTCCCTCACATAGGATTCCAGAACAATTCTGCTACGATCTGAATGTTTGTCCCTCACATAGCATTCCAGAAGACTGCTGCTGTGGACTGAATGTTTTTCCCTGACGTAGGATTCCAGAACACTTCTCCTGGATTCTGAGTTTTTTTTCCCTCAAATAGGATTCCAGAACACTCCTGCTGTTTTCTGAATATTTGTTCCTCACATACGTCTCCATAACACTCCTGCTGTGGTTAGGATGTTTGTCCCTCAGATAGCATTCAGGAACACTGCTGCTGGAGTCTGAATGTTTGTCTCTAACATACAATTCCACAGCACTACTGCTCTGGTCTGAAGGTTTTTCCTTCACATATGATTTCAGAACACTGGTGCTGGATTCTGAGCGATTGTCATTCACATAAGATTCCAGAACACTGCTAAGAGGGTCTGAATATTTGTCCCTTACTTAGGATTCCAGAATACTGCTTCTGGGTTCTGAGTGTTTGTCCCACACATAGGATTCCAGAACACTGCTACAAGGGTCTGAATGTTTGTCCATTAAATGATATTCCAGAGCACTGCTAATGGGGTCTCAATGTTTGTCCCTCAGACAGCATTCCAGAACACTCCTGCTGTGGTCTGAATATCTGTCCCTCACATAGGATTCCATAACACTGCTGCTGTGGTCTGACTGTTTGTCCCTCACATAGGATTCCAGAACAATTCTGCTACGATCTGAATGTTTGTCCCTCACATAGCATTCCAGAAGACTGCTGCTGCGGACTGAATGTTTTTCCCTGACAAAGGATTCCAGAACATTGCTCCTGGATTCTGAGTTTTTTTCCCTCAAATAGGATTCCAGAACACTGCTGCGAGGGTATGAATGATTTTCCCTAAATAGGATTCCAGAACACTGCTGCTGGGGTCTGAAAGTTGGTCCCTCACATAGGATTACATAACACTCCTAGTGTGGTCTGAATGTTTGTTCCTCACATAGGATTTCAGAACACTCCTGCAGTGTTCTGCATGCTTGTCCCTCACATAGGATTCCAGAACACTACCACAAGTGTCTGAATGTTTGTCCTTCACAAGGGATTCCAGAAGACTCCTGCTGTGATCTGAATGTTTGTCCCTCACATAGGATTTCAGAACACTCCTGCTGTGATCTGAATGTTTGTCCCTCACATAGGACTCCAGAACACTCCAACTGTGGTCTGAATGTTTGTCTCTGAGATAGCATTCAAGAACACTGCTGCTGGAGTCTGAGCTTTTGCCCCTCACATAATATTCCAGAACACTGCTGCTGGGTTCTGAATGTTTGTCCATCACGTAGGATTCCAGAACACTCCTACTGTGCTCTGAAAGTTTTTTCGTCACATGCGATTCCAGAACACTCCTGCTCTGGTCTGAATGTTTGTCCCTCACATAGGATTCCAGAACACTGTTACGAGGGTCTGAACGTTTCTCCCTCACATAGGATTCCAGAACAATCCTACAGTTGTCTGAATGTTTGTTCCTCACATAGGATTCCAGAACACTGCTATGAGGGTCTGAATGTTTGTCCCTCACATAGGATTCCAGAACACTGCTAGGAGGGTCTGAATGTTTGTCCCTCACATAGGATTCCAGAACACTGCTAGGAGGGTCTGAATGTTTGTCCCTCACATAAGATTTCACAACGCTGCTACTGGGGTCTGAATGTTTCTCCCTTACATAGGATTCCAGAAAACTGCTACAAGAGTCAGAATGCTTGTCCTTCACATAGGATTGGAGCACATTCCTGCTGTGGTCTGAAGATTTGTCTCTCACATGGCATCCAAGAACACTGCTCCTGGGGTCTGAATGTTTGTCCCTCACATAGGATCCCAGAACACTGCTGCTGAGGTCTGAAGGTTTGTCCCTCACATAGGATTCCAGAAAACTGCTACAAGAGTCAGAATGCTTGTCCTTCATATAGGATTCGAGCACATTCCTGCTGTGGTCTGAAGATTTGTCTCTCACATGGCATCCAAGAACACTGCTCCTGGGGTCTGAATGTTTGTCCCTCACATAGGATCCCAGAACACTGCTGCTGAGGTCTGCATGTTTGTCCCTCACATAGGATTCCATAACACTGCTGTGGGCTTCTGAGTGCTTGTCCCTCACATAGGACTCCAGGACACTCCTTTTGTTGTCTGAATGTTTGTCCCTCACTTAGGATTCCAGAACACTGCTGCTGGGGTCTCATTGTTTGTCACTCAGAGAGCATTCCAGAACAATCTTGCTGTTGTCTGAATGTTTGTCCCTCATGTAGGATTCCATAACACTCCTGCTGTGGTTTGAATGCTTGTCCCTCATGTAGGATTCCAGAACTCTTCTTCTATGGTCTGAATGTTTGCCCCTCAAATAACATTCCAGAACACTGGTGCTGTGGAATGAGTGTTTGTCCCTCACATAGGATTGCAGAACACTCCTGCAGTGGTCTGAATGTTTCTCCCTCACACAGGTTTCCAGAACACTCCTGCTGTGGTCTGAAAGTTTGTTCTTCACATACGATTCCAGAACACAGCTACAAGGGTCTCAATGTTTGTCCCTCAGACAGGATTACAAAACACTCCTGCTGTGGTCTGAATGTTTGATCCTCACATAGGATTCCAAAACACGCCTGCTGTGGTCAGAATGTTTGTTCCCCATATAGGAAATCAGAACACTCCTGCAGTGTTCTGAATGTTTGTCCCTCACATAGGACTCCAGAACACTCCTGCTGTGGTCTGAAAGTTTGTCCCTCACATAGCATTCAAGAACACTACTGTTGGAGTCTGAATGTTTGTCCCTCACATAGGATTCCAGAACAATTCTGCACTGGTCTGAATGTTTGTCCCTCACATAGGATTCCAGAACACAGCTGCTGGATTCTGAGCATTTGTCCCTCAAAAAGGATTCCAGAACACCCCTACGAGGGTCTGAATATTTGTCCCTCACATAGGATTGCAGAACACTGTTGGTGGGTTCTGAGTGTTTGTCCCTTACATAGGATTCCAGAACACTGCTACAAGCGTCTGAATGTTGGTACATCACATAAGATTCCAAAACACTGCTGCTGGGGTCTGAATGTTTGTCCCTCACATAGGATTCCAGAACACTGCTGCTGAGGTCTCAATGTTTGTCCCTCAGAGAGCATTCCAGAACAATCTTGCTGTGGTCTGAATATTTGTCCCTCATGTAGGATTCCATAACACTCCTGCTGAGGTCTGAATGTTTGTCCCTCACATAGGACTCCAGAACTCTCCTGCTATGGTCTGAATGTTTGCCCCTCACATAGCATTCCAGAACACTGCTGCTGTGGACTGAATATTTGTCCCTCACAAAGGATTCCAGAGCAGTGCTCCTGGATTCTGAGTTTCTTTTCCCTCACATAGGATTCTAGAACACCCCTACGAGGGTATGAATGCTTTTCCCTCACATAAGATTCCAGAACACTGCTGCTGGGGTCTGAATGTTTGTTCCTCACATAGGATTCCAGAACACTCCTGCTGTTGTTTGTATGTTTGTCTGTCACATAGGATTCCAGAACACTGTGGCTGGGGTAAGTATGTCCCTGATATAGGATGGCAGAACGCTGATACCAGGGTCTGAATGTTTGTCTGTCACACACAGGATTCCAGAACACCGCTATGAGGGTCTGAATGTCTCTCTCTCACAAAGGATTCCAGAACACTGCTGCGAGGGTCTGAATGTTTGTCCCTCCCATAGGACTCCAGAACACAGCTGCGAGGGTCTAAATGTCTGTCCCTCACATAGGATTGCAGAACACTGCTAGGAGGGTCAGGATGTTTCTCCCTCATGTAGCATTCCAGAACACTGCTGCCATGGTCTGAAAGTTTTTCCCTCACATAGGATTCTAGAACACTGTTATGAGGGTTTGAATGTTTGTCCCACACCTAGGATTCCAGAACACCTCTGCTGGAGTCTCAACGTTTATCCCTCACATATGATTCCAGGATACTGCTATGAGGGTATGAATGTTTGTCCTTCACATAGGATTCCACAACACTGCTACGAGGGTCTGAGTGTTCTCCCTCACATAGTATTCCAGCACACTTCTGCTGGTGTCTGAATGTTTGTACCTCATATCACATTCCAGAACACTGCTGCTGGGGTTTGAATGTCTGTCCCTCACATAGAATTCCAGAACACTGCTGGGAGGGTCTGAATGTATGTCTCTCCTATGGGATTCCAGAACACTGCTCCGAGGGTCTAAATATCTCTCCCTCACATAAGATTCCAGCACACGGCTATGAAGTTCTGAATGTTTGTCCCTCACATAGGATTCCAGAGCCCTCCTGCTGTGGTCTGAATGTTTGTCCCTCACATAAGATTCCAAAACACTGCTACAAAAGTCTGAATCTTTGTCCCTCACATGGGACTCCAGAACACTCCTACTGGGGTCTCAATGTTTATCCCTCACATAGGATTCCTGAACACTGCTACAAGGGTCTGAACGTTTGTCCTTCACAAAGGATTCCAGAACACTCCTGTGGTCTGAATATTTGTCCCTCACATAGGATTTCAAAACACTCCTGCTGTGTTCTGAATGTTTGTCCATCACATAGGACTCCAGAACACTCCTGCTGTGGTGTGAATTTTTGTCCCTCACATAGCATTCAAGAACACTGCTACGAGGGTCTGAATGTATGTACCTCACATGGGATTCCAGGACACTCCTGCTGTGGTCTGAATGTTTGTACCTCGCATAGCATTCCAGAACACTCTTGCTATGGTCTGAATGTTTGTTCATCACATAGGATTTCAGAACACTCCTAAGAGGGTTTGCATGTTTGTCCCTCAAATTGGATTCCAGAACACTCCTGCAGTGGTTTGAATATTTCTCCCTCACACAGGATTCCAGAACACTCCTGCTGTGGTCTGAGTGTTTGTTCCTCACATACGATTCCAGAAAACAGCTACAAGGGTCTCAATGTTTCTCCTTCAGACAGGATTAGAAAACACTCCTGTTGTGGTCTGAATATTTGTTCCTCACATAGGATTCCAGAACACTGTTGCTGGGTTCTGGGTGTTTGTGTCTCACATAGGATTCCAGAACAAGCTACAAGGGTCTGAATGTTTGTCCATCACATACAATTCCAAAACACTGCTGCTGGCATCTGAATGTTTGCCTCTCACATAGGATTCCAGAACACTGCTGCTGGGTTCTGAATTTTGTTCTTCAGATAGCATTCCAGAACACTCCCGCTGTGGTCTGAATGTTTATCTCTCACATAGAATTCCATAACACTCCTGCTATGGTCTGAATGTTTGTCCCTCACATAGCTTTCCAGAACACTGCTGCTGTGGACTGAATGTTTGTCCCTCACATAGGATTCCAGAACACTGCTCTTGGATTCTGAGATTTTAACCCTCACATAGGATTCCAGAACACTGCTACGAGGGTATGAATGATTTTCCCTCACATAGGATTCCAGAACACTGCTATGAGGGTCTGAATGTTTGTCCCTCACATAGGATTCCAGAACACTCCTGCTATGGTCTGAATGTTTGTCCCTCACATAGCTTTCCAGAACACTGCTGCTGTGGACTGAATGTTTGTCCCTCACATAGGATTCCAGAGCACTGCTCCTGGATTCTGAGTTTTTAACCCTCACATAGGATTCCAGAACACTGCTACGAGGGTATGAATGATTTTCCCTCACATAGGATTCCAGAACACTGCTACCAGGGTCTGAATGTTTGTCCCTCACATAGGATTCCAGAACACTCCTGCTATGGTCTGAATGTTTGTCCCTCACATAGCTTTCCAGAACACTGCTGCTGTGGACTGAATGTTTGTCCCTCACATAGGATTCCAGAACACTGCTCCTGGATTCTGAGATTTTAACCCTCACATAGGATTCCAGAACACTGCTACGAGGGTATGAATGATTTTCCCTCACATAGGATTCCAGAACACTGCTACGAGGGTCTGAATGTTTGTCCCTCACATAGGATTCCAGAACACTCCTGCTGTTGTCGGAATATTTGACACTCACATAGGACTCCAGAACACTCCTGCTGTGGTTTGAATGTTTGTCCCTGACATAGGATTTCAGAACACTCCTGCTGTGTTCTGAATGTTTTTTCCTCACATAGAATTCCAGAACACTGCTACAAAGGTCTGTATGTTTGTCCTTCACAATGGTTTCCAGAAGTCTCCTGCTGTGTTCTGAATGTTTCTCCCTCACATAGGACTCCAGAACACTCCTGCTGTGGTCTGAATGTTTGTCCCTCACATAGCATTCAAGGACACTGCTGCTGGAGTCGGAATGTTTTCCCCTCTCATGGGATTCCAGAACACTCCTGCTCTGGTGTGAATGTTTGTCCCTCCCATAGGATTGCAGAACAGTGTTGCTGGATTCTGAGCCTTTCTCCCTCACATAGGCTTCCAGAACACTGCTGCTGGGTTCTGAGGGTTAGTCCCTCCCATAGGATTCCAGAACACTGCAACAAGGGTCTGAATGTTTGTCCATCACATAAAAATCCAGAACACTGCTGCTAGGATTTCAATGTTTGCCCCTCACATAGGATTCCAGAACACTGCAACAAGGGTCTTTATGTTTGTCCTACACAAGGGATTCCAGAACACTCCTGCTGTGTTCTGAATGTTTGTCCCTCACATAGGATTCCAGAACATTTCTGCTGTGGTCGGAATGTTTGTCTGTCACAGAATTCCAGAACACTGTGTCTGTTGTCTGAATGTCCCTGACATAGGATTCCAGAACACTGCTACTAGGGTCTGAATGTTTGTCTCTCACATAGAACTCCAGAACACTGCTTCGAGGGTCTGAATGTTGGTCCCTGACATAGGATTCCAGAACACGGCTACAAGGGTCTGAATGTTGGTCCCTCACATAGCATTCCAGGACACTCCTGCTGTGATCTGAATGACTGTCTGTCACATAGGATTCCAGAACACTGAGGCTGTGGTATGAATGTCCCTGATGTAGGATGGCAGAATGCTGCTACCAGGGTCTGAATGTTTGTCTGTCACACAGCATACCAGAACACGGCTACAAGGGTCTGAATGTTGGTCCCTCACATAGCATTCCAGGACACTCCTGCTGTGGTCTGAATGTTTGTTCCTCACATAACATTCAAGAACAACGTTGGAGTCTGAATGTTTATCCCTAACATAGAATTCCAGAACACTGCTATGAGGGTCTGATTGTTGGTTCCTCACATAGGGCTTCAGAACACTGCTGCTGGGGTCTGTATGTTTGTACCCAACATTTGATTCCAGAACACTGCTACGAGGGTCTGAAAGTTTGTCCCTCACATAGGATTCCAGAACATTCCTGCAATGGTCTGAATGTCCCTCACATAGGATTCCAGAACACTCCTGCTGCGGTCTGATACTTTGACCCTCACATAGGATTCCAGAACGCTGCTACTGTGGTCTGAATGTTTGTCTGTCACATAGGATTCCAGAACACTGCGGCTGGGCTCTGAATATCCCTGACATAGGATTCCAAAACAGTGCTACGAGGGTCTGAATGGTTGTCTGTCACAAAGCATTCCAGAACACTGTTACGAGGGCCTCAATGTTGGTCCCTCACATAGGATTCCAGAACACTGCTACGAAGGTCTGAATGTTTCTCCCTCACATAGGATTCCAGAACACTGCTACAAGGTTCTGAATGTTTGTCCCTCACTTAAGATTCTAGAAAACTGCTACGAGGGTCTAAATGTTTGTCCCTCACATAGGATTCCAGAACAGTCGTGTTGTCTTTTGAAACTTTGTCCCTCACATAGGATTCCAGAACACTGCTACGAGGGTCTGAATGTTTCTCCCTCACAGAGGATTCCAGAACACTCCAGCTCGGGTCTGAAAGTTTGTCCCTCACTTAGGTTTCCAGAACACTGCTGCTGTGGTCTGTATGTTTGTCCCTCACAAAGGATTCCAGAACAGTCCTGCTGTGGTCTGATTGTTTGTTCTTCACATAGGATTCCAGAACACTGCTGCGAGGCTCTGAATGTCCCTGACATAGGAATCCAGAACACTGCTGCCGTTGTCTGAAACTTTGTCCTTCACATAGGATTCCAGAAGCCTTCTGCTGGTGTCTGAATGTTTTTCCCTCATCTAGGATTCCTGAACACTGCTGCGAGGGTCTGAATGTATGTCCCTCACATACGATTCCAGAACACTGATGCTGGAGTCTGAATGTTTGCCCTTAACATAGGATTTCAGAACACTGCTCCTGGGGTCTGTTTGTACCACACATAGGACTACACAAAACTGCTGCTGGAGTCTGAATGTTTGTCACTCCCATAGAATTTGAGACAACTGCTGCGAGGGTCCAAATGTTTGTCCCTCACATGGGATTCTAGAATACTGCTGCGAGAGTCTAAATGTCTGTCCCTCACATAAGATTCCAGCACACTGTTATGAGGTTCTGAATGTTTGTCCCTCACTTAGGTTTCCAGAACACTGCTGCTGTGGTCTGAATGTTTGTCCCTCCCATAGGATTCCAGAACACTGCTACGAGGGTCTGAATGTTTGTCCCTCACATAGGATTCCAGAACACTGCTAAGAGGGTCTGAATGTTTGTCTCTCACATGGCATTCCAGAACACTCTTGCTGTGGTCTGAATGTTTGTCCCACAGAAAACATTCCAGAACATTCCTGCTGTGGTCTGAATGTTAGTCCCTCACATAGGATTCCAGAACACTGCTGCGAAGGTCTGAATGTTTGTCCCTCACATAGGATTCCATGACACTGCTACGAGGATATGAATGTTTGTCCCTCACATAGGATTCCAGAACACTGCTAAGAGGGTCTGAATATTTGTCCCTCACATAGGATTCCAGAACACTCCTGTTCGGGTCTGAATGTTTGTCTCTCACATGGGATTCTAGAACACTGCTGCTGTGGTCTAAATGTCTGCCCCTCACATAGGATCCCACAACACTACGAGGCTCTGAATGTTTGTCCCCCACATAGGATTCCAGTACACTGCTGCCGTTGTCTGAATATTTGTCCCTCACGTAGGATTCCACAAGCCTGCTGCGAGTGTCTGAATGTTTGTCTCTCACATAGCATTCCAGAACACTCCTGCTGTGATCTGAATGTTTGCCCTCACATAGGATTCCAGAACACTCCTACTGTGGTGGGAATGTTTTTCCCTCACATAGGATTCCGGAAAACTGTTATGAGGGTCTGAATGTTTGTCTCTCACATAGGATTCCAGAACACTGCCACGAGGGTCTGAATGTTTGTCCCTCACGTAGGATTCCAGAACACTCCTGCTGTGGTCTGAATGTTTGTCCCCCACACAGTATTCCAGAACACTGCTATGAGAGTCTGAATGTTTGTCCCTCACATAGGATTCCAGAAGATTCATGCTGGGGTCTGAATTTTTGTCCCTCACATAGGATTCCAGAACACTCCTGCTGTGGTCTGAATGTTTGTCCGTCACGTAGGATTCCAGAACACTGCTATGAAATTCTGAATGTCCCTCACATAGGATTCCAGAACACTGCTAAGAAGGTCTGAATGTTTGTCCCTCACTTAGGATTCCAGAAAACTACTACGAGGGTCTGAATGGTTGTCCCTCACATAGGATTCCAGAACACTCCTGCCGTGGTCTGAAAGTTTGTCCCTCACATAGGATTCCAGAACGCTGCTGCTGTGGTCTGAATGTTTCTCTGTCACATATGATTCCAGAACACTGTGGCTGGTGTCTGAATGTCCCTGACATAGGATTCTCGAACAGTGGTACGAGGGTGTAAATGGTGGTCTGTCACATAGCATTCCAGAACACTGCTAGGAGTGTCTGAATGTTGGTCCTTCACATAGGATTCCAGAACACTGCAACAAGGGTCGGAATATTTGACCCTCACATAGGATTCCAGAACACTCTTGCTGTGGTCTGAATGTTTGTCCCACAGAAAACATTCCAGAACACTCCTGCTGTGGTCTGAATGTTTGTTCCTCACATAGGATTCCAGAACACTGTTACGAAGGTCTTAATGTTTGTCCCTCACATAGGATTCCATAACAATGCTACGAGGATATGAATGTTTGTCCCTCACATAGGATTCCAGAACACTGCTAAGACGGTCTAAATGTTTGTCCCTCACATAGGATTCCAGAACACTCCTGTTCGGATCTGAATGTTTGTCCCTCACATGGGATTCCAGAACACTGCTGCTGTGGCCTAAATGTCTGTCTCTCACATAGGATTCCACAACACTACGAGGCTCTGAATGTTTGTCCCCCACATAGGATTCCAGAACACTGCTGTCGTTGTCTGAATATTTGTCCCTCATGTAGGATTCCAGAAGCCTGATGCTAGTGTCTGAATATTTGTCCCTCACATAGCATTCCAGAACACCCCTGCTGTGATCTGAATGTTTGCCCTCACATAGGATTCCAGAACACTCCTGCTGTGGTGGGAATGTTTGTCCGTCACGTAGCATTCCAGAAAACTGTTATGAGGGTCTGAATGTTTGTCTCTCACATAGGATTCCAGAACACTGCCACGAGGGTCTGAATGTTTGTCCCTCACGTAGGATTCCAGAACACTCCTGCTGTGGTCTGAATGTTTATCCCTCACGTAGGATTCCAGAACACTGCTATGAAATTCTGAATGTTTGTCCCTCACATAGGATTCCAGAACACTGCTAAGAAGGTCTGAATGTTTGTCCCTCACTTAGGATTCCAGAAAACTACTACAAGGGTCTGAATGTTTGTCCCTCACATAGGATTCCAGAACACTCCTGTTGTGGTCTGAAAGTTTGTCCCTCACATAGGATTCCAGAACATTGCTACGAGGGTCTGAATATTTGTCTTTCACGTAGGATTCCAGAACTCTGCTGCTGTGATCTGAATGTTTGTCCCTCACAAAGGATTCCAGAACACTTTGCTGTGGTCTGATTGTTTGTTCCTCACATAGGATTCCAGAACACTGCTATGAGGCTCTGAGTGTTTGTCCCTCACATAGGATTCCAGAGCACTGCTACGAGGCTCTGAGTGTTTGTCCCTCACATAGGATTCCAGAACACTGCTGCCATTGTCTGAATGTTTGTCCCCCACATAGGATTCCAGAAGCCTGCTGCTGGGGTCTGAATGTTTGTCCCCCATCTAGGATTCCAGAACACTGTTGCGAGGGTCTGAATGTATGTCCCTCACATACAATTCTAGAAAATTGATGCTAGGGTCTGTGTGTTTGCCCTCAACATATGATTTCAAAACACTGCTCCTGGGTTCTGAATGTTTGTCCTTCACATAGGAATACAGAACACTGCTGCTGGAGTGTGAATGTTTGTCACTCACATAGAATTCCAGAACACTGCTGCGAGGATCTGAATGTTTGTCCCTCACATGGGATTCCAGAACACTCCAGCACAATATTACGAGGTTCTGAATGTTTGTCCCTAACATGGGGTTCCAGAACACTCCTGCTGTGCTCTGAATGCTTCTCCCTCACATAGGATTCCAGAACACTGCTACGAGGGTCTGAATGCTTATCCCTCATATAAGATTCCAGAACAGTCCTGCTGTGATCTGAATGTTTGTCCCTCACATAGGATTCCAGAACATTCATACTGGGGTCTCATTGTTTCCCTTAACATAGGATTTCAGAACACTGCTCCTGGGGTCTGAATGTTTGTCCCTCACACAGGATTACAGAACACAGCTGCTGGAGTTTGAATGTCTTTCCCTCACATAGAATTCCAGAACACGGCTGGGAGGGTCTGAATGTTTGTCAGTCACATAGAATTTCAAAACACTGCTACGAGGGTCTGAATATTTCTCTCTCACCTAGTATTCCAGAACACTGTTGCAAGGGTCTGAGTATTGGTCCATCATATAGGATTTCAGAACACTGCTGCTGTGGTCTGAATGTATGTCCCTCACATAGGATTCCAGAACACTGCTACTAGGTTCTGAATGTTTCTACCACACCTAGGATTCCAGAACACTTCTGCTGGTGTCTGAATGGTTGTCCCTCACATATGATTCCAGGACACTGCTACGAGGGTCTTAATGTTTGTCCTTCACGTAGGATTCCAGAACACTGCTCCCGTGGTCTGAATGTTTGTCCCTCACATAGCATTCCAGAACACTGCTGCTGGGGTCTGAATGTCTGCCCCTCAAATCGGATTCCAGAAAACTGCTGCTGGAGTTTGAATGTCTTTCCCTCACATAGAATTCCAGAACACAGCTGGGAGGGTCTGAATGTTTGTCCCTCACATGGGATACCAGAACACTGCTGCGAGGGTCTAAATGTCTCTCCCTCACATAAGATTCCAGAACACTGCTACAAGGTTCTGAATGTTTGCCCCTCACATAGGATTCCAGAGCACTCCTGTTGTGGTCTGAATATTTGTCCCTCACATGGGATTCCAGAACACTGCCACGTGGGTCTGAATGTTTGTCCTCACATAGGATTCCAGAACAATACTGCTGGGGTCTGAATGTTTGACCCTCACATAGGATTCCAGAAGACTCCTGCTGTGGTCTGAAAGTTTGTTCATCACATAGGACTCCAGAACACTGCTAAGAGGGTCTGAATGTTTGTCCCTCACATAGTATTCCAGAACACTCCTGCTGTGGTCTGAATGCTTGTTCCTCAAATAGGATTCGAGAACACTCCTGCTGTGGTCTGAATGTTTGCTCCTCACATAGGATTCGAGAACATACACGCTGGGATGTGAATGCTTGCTCTTGACATAGGATTTCAGAACACTGCTCCTGGGGTCTGAATGTTTGTCTCTCACGTAGGATTCCAGAACACTCCTGCTGTGGTCTGAATGCTTGTTCGTCACATAGGATTTGAGAACACTCCTGCTGTGGTCTGAATGTTTGTTCCTCACATAGGATTCGAGAACATTCACGCTGGGATGTGAATGCTTGCTCTTAACATAGGATTTCAGAGCACTGTTCCTGGGGTCTGAATGTTTGTCCCTCACATAGGATTCAAGAAAACTGCTGCTGTGGTCTGAAAGTTTGTACTGCACATAGGATTACAGAACACTCCTGCTGTGGTCGGAATGTTTGTCTGTCACATAGGATTCCGGAACACTGCTGCTGGGGTCTGAATGTTTGTCCCTCACATTGGATTGCAGAACACTACTGCTGTGGTCTGAACGTTTGTCCATCACTTAGGATTCCAAATGCTCCTGCTGTGGTCTGAATGTTTGTCTGTCACATAGGATTCCAGAACATTGAGGCTGGGGTCTGAATGTCCCTGACATAGGATTCCAGAACATTGCTATGAGGGTCTGAATGGTTGTCTTTCACATAGCATTCCAGAACACTGCTACAAGGGTCTGAATGTTGGTCCCTCACACAGGATTCCAGAACCCTCCTGCTGGGGTCTGAATGTTTCTCCCTCACAAAGGATTCCAGAACACTGCTATGAGGGTCTGAATATTTGTCCCTCACATACGATTCCAGAACACTCCTGCTGTGGTCTGAATGGTTGTCCCTCACATAGGATTCCAGAACACTTCTGCTGTGGTACGAATGTCTGTGTCTCACGTAGGATTCCACAACACTGCTACGAGGGTCTCAATGTTTGTCCCTCACATAAGATTCCAGAACACTGCTGCTGGAGTCTGAATACTTGTCCCTCACATACGATTATAGAACACTGTTGCTGGGGTGTGAATGTTCGTCCCTCACATAGGATTCCAGACCACTGCAGCTGGGGTCTCAATGTCTGTCCCTCAAAAAGGATTCCAGAACACTGCTACGAAGGTCTGAATGTTTGTCCCTCACTTAAGACTGCAGAACACTGCTTCGAGGGTCTAAATGTCTGTCCTTCACATAGGATTCAGGAACACTGCTACGAGGGTCTGAATGTTTTTCCTTCACATAGCATTTCAGAACTGCCATGGTCTGAATGTTTGTCCCTCACATAGTATTCCAGAACAGTGCTACGAGGGTCTAAATGTTTGCCCCTCACATAGGATTCCAGAACCCTGCTACGAGGGTCTGAAAGTTTGTCCCTCACATAGGATTCCAGAACACTGCTGCTGGGCTCTGAATGTTTGTCCCTCACATAGGATTCTAGAACACTCCAGCTGGCTTCTGAGTGTTTGTCCCTCACATAGGATTCCTGAAGACTTCTGCTGTCATTATAGTCATTGCAAGTGTCTGAATGTTTGACCTTCACCAAACATCAAATATCCTGGCCCTTTAGTCTTGGACTTTCCAGCCTCCAGATCTGTGAGCAATAATCTCTCTTGTTTATGAATTACTCAGTCTAAAGTATTTTGTTATAGTAGCCTAAAGACACTAAGAAAGCCTCACCTGTCCTGTCACCTCATCACCACATTACTGAAGCTATACTAACAGCAGTCACTTTTAGTGGGTACTTCATGCATGAGAATAAAGGGGAAAAATTGCAAGCATACTAAAATCCAAAAAAAGAAAAAAAATACAATTTTGTCAACAGAACAAGCTTCAGAAGCAGACAAAAATATGATTTTGGATTTTTTTTAAACCTCTCGACAATATGCTAAGGGCTCTAATGAATGAAGTAGACAGCATTCAAGTGTAGATGGGTAATGTAATCAGAAAGACAGACAACGTAAGAACCTTCAACATAATGTAGTGATAAAAATGTGGTAAATAACTGAAGAATACCTCTGATGGCTTATTAGTAGACTGGACTCAGCTGAGTAAAGAATCTCTGAGCTTGAGGATTTATCATCAGAAACTTCGAAAACTAAAGAAAAGAAACACTGAAAAGAACAGAAGATGATATCCAAGACTGTGGGACAACTACAAAAGGTGAAACAGAGTAATGAGAATACCAGGAGGAGAAGAAATAGAAGAAAGTTCTGCAACAACCATGTCTGAGAACTTCCAGTATTAATGTCAGACAACAAACCAAAGATCCAGGAAGCTCCGAGAACACCAGGCAGCATAAATGCCAACAACCTACACTTGGACATATAATTTTCAAACTATATGAAATAAAAGATAAAGGAAAATTCTGAAAGAAACCAGAGATGGGGCAGAAAACACCTTACCTACAGAGACACAAAGATAAGAACTGCATTCAACATTGCAGAAACTGTGAAAGCAAGAAGACAGTGAAATGAAAAATTCAAAATGTTGACAGAAAAAACCCCACCAACCTAAGTTTCTGTACCCACTGAAACCACCCTTCAAAAGTGAAGGAGAATTAAGGCCTTCCTCAGAAAAATAAAAATTCAAGAAACTTGTTGCCAGGAGACCTGTCTTGCAAGAAATGTTAAATGAAATTCTTTAGAGGGAAACAAAAGATATTTAACTGAAACCTGGATCAACATTTTTTAAAAAAGATCATTAAAGAAAGAATTATGGTACAATAAAAACCTATGTATTTATTCTTAATTGATCTGACCAAGAAGTTCATAGACAAAAACAAATACACACAGATAGATTATGTATGCTTATACACAAGTGAAATGAGTAACACTAATACAAGGAATGGAATGGAAGGATGGGAGGGAGGAATCAGGTGTTTTCTTTGTTAAGCAGGTAGTCACCCGTGAAGTGGGATAGTGTTATCTGAAAGTGGACTTGAATTGGTTGTAAATGTATATTGAGGAATTAGGTGTTTTGTTTGTTAAGTAGGTAGTCTTATTTGTGGGATAGTGGGATAGTGTTATTTGAAAGTGGACTTGAATTGGTTGTAAATGATACTGAGGAATTAGGTGTTTTGTTTGTTAAGCAGGTAGTCTTATTTGTGGGATAGTGGGATAGTGTTATTTGAAAGTGGACTTGAATTTGTTGTAAATGTATATTGCAAATTCTGTGGCAAGTAGTTAAAAAAAGTTTTAAAAAGAGAAGTATATGCTAAGAAAGACAGGGAAAATGTAGTCATCTAAAATCATCAATGAAAACTGCAAAAGGCAGAAAAAGAGTGGTAGACAAAAGAATGAAGACTGAGGAGAATGAATAGAAAACAGTAAAAAATAAAGTAGATATTAATCCAATGATATCAATAATCACTTGGAATGTTAATAGTATGAACGTACCAATTCAAAGATAGAGATTGTCAGAGTCTATCAAAAGACAGACACATCTTGTTTCACTGCACTTTGTTTTATTGTGTTTTGTGATCATGTTTTTTACATATTGAAGGTTTGTGGCCACCCTGCAATAAGCAGGTCTCACTGGCACCATTGTTCCTACAGCACGTGCTCACTTCACGTCTCTGTGTCACATTTCGGTCATTCTCAGAGTATTTTAAGCTTTTTATTATTGAATCTGTTATGGTGATCTGTAATCAGTGATCTTTAATGCTACTGTTGTCATTGTTTTGGGATCCACAAATCACACCCGGATAAGACAGCAAACAATTGACAAATGCCTTTGTTCTGACTGCCCCACCAACGTGCCATTTCTCTTTCTCTCTCTTTTTATCAGGCTTCTTTTTATTAATATTAAAATGTGGCCAATTAATAACCCTAAAATAGCCTCTATATGTTCAAGTGAAAGAAGAGTTGCATGTCTGTCACTTTAAACCAAAAGGAAGAAATAATTAAGCTTAGTGAGGAAGGCATACTGTAAGCAAGACAGGCCAGTAGCTAGACCTCATGCAACAAACACTTAGCCAAGTTGTGAATGCAAAGGAAGTGTTCTGGAAAGAAATTTAAATTACTACTCCAGTGAACACATGAATGATAAAAAGCTAAACAATCTTGCTGTTATGAAGAAAGTTTAATTGGTCTAGATAGAAGATAAAAAAAAAACATTCCATTAAGCCTAAGCCTCTCTTTTTACTTTTTTTCTTTGTTTGTGAGACAGATTTTCATTCTTCTTGCCCAAGCTGGAGTGTAATGGCGCGATCTTGGCTCATCGCAACCTCTGCCTCCTAAGTTCAAGCCATTCTCCTGCCTCAGCATCCCGAGTAGCTGGGATTACAGGCATGCGCCACCATGCCTGGCTATTTTTTGTATTTTTAGTAGAGATGGGGTTTCTCCACGTTGGTCAGACTGGTGTCGAACTCTCAACCTCAGGTGATCTGTCTGCCTCGGCCTCCCAAAGTGCTAGGATTACAGGTGTGACAGCCACCGCACCCAGCCTTTCTTCAATTCTATGAAGACTCAGAGAGGTGAGGCAGCTGCAGAAGAAAAGTCTGAAGCTAGAAGAGCTTGTTTCTTGAGGATTAAGGAAAAAAGTCATCTCCATCACATAAAAGCGCAAGATAAAGCAGCAAGTACTGATGGAAAAGCTGCAGAAAGCTATCTAGAAGATAACTGATTAAGATGGCTGCAATAAACAGATTTGCAATGGAGACAAAACAGCCTTCTACTATAAGGAGATGCCATCTAAGATGTTCCCAGCTAGAGAGGAGTTGATACCTGGCTTTAACGCTTCAAAGGACTTGCTGACACTTTTGTTAAGGGTTAATGCAGTTGGTGATGTTAACTTGAAACCAATGATGATTTACTATTCTGAAAATCCAAGGGCCCTGAAGAATTATGATAAAACACAGCTCTGCCTGTACTCTACAAATGGGAACAAAGCCTGGATGACAGACTATCGGTTTACAAATACGGTTTACTGAATATCTTAAGCCCAATGTTGACACCTACTGCTCAAGAAATAAGATTCCTTTCAAAGTATTACCGCTCACTGACAATGCCCCTGGTACTCAAGGGCTTTTACAGAGATGTATAAAGAGCTGAATATTGTTTTCGTGCCTACTAACCCAACATTCATTCTGGTGCCCTTGGATCAAAGAATAATTTCAACTTTCAAGTCTTATCACTTAAAAATATATTTCATAAAGCTATAGCTTCTCTAGAAAGTGATTCCTTTAATGGATCTGGGCAAAATAATTGAAAACCTACCAGAAAGGATTCACCATTCTAGATGCCATTGAGAACATTCATGATTTAAAAAAGAAGATCAAAATAGCAACATTAGGAGAAGTTGGGGCTGGGCTTGGTGGCTCACGCCTGTAACACCAGCACTTTGGGAGGCCAAGGTACGTGGATCACGAGGTCAGGAATTTGAAACCAGCCTGGCCAACAAAGTGAAATCCTGTCTGTACTAAAAACACACAAAAAATTAGCTGGGCCTGGTCGGGGGTGACTGTAATCCCAAATACTTGGGAGGCTGAGGCAGGAGAATTGCTTGAACCCGGGAGGTGGAGGTTGCAGTGAGCTGAGATCGCATCACTGCACTCCAGCCCAGGCAAGACTTCATCTCAAAAAAAAAAAAGAGAGGGAGAGAAGTTGGGAAGATTATTCCAACCGTCACAGATGACACTGAGGGGTTCACGACTTCTGTGTAGGAAGTAACTGCAGATATGGTGGAAATAACAAGAGCACTAGAATCAGAGACAGAGCCTGAAGATGTGGCGAGACTGCAGCAGCCTCCGGAGAAAATGTGTGTGGATGAGTTGCTTCCACGGATGAGCAAAGAAAGTGGTTTCTTGAGATGAAATCTACTCGTGGTGAAGACAGTGTAAATATTGTTGAAATGACAACAGATTTAGAATAAACTTAGTTGGTACTGCAGAAAGAGGGCTTGACAGGATCGAACCCAATGATTTACAATAATACATAAACTTAGTTCGTACAGCAGTACAAAGGTTTGACAGGATTGAATCCAATTTTGAAAGTTCTACTGTGGGTAAAAAGCTATCAAACAACATCGTATGCTACAGATAATTCTTTTGTGAAAGGGAGAGTCAATTGACACAGCAAACTTCAATGTTGTCTTATTTTAAGAAATTGCCACAGCCACCACAACGCTCAGCAACCACCACCTTACATTAAGGCAAGACCCTCCATCAGCTAGAAGACTGAAACTTGGCCAGATGCAGTGGCTCACACCTGTCATCCCAACACCTTGGGAGGCCAAGTTGTGTGGATTGCTTGAGCCCAGGACGTCAAGGCAACATGGCAAAACCCCATCTCTACAAAAAAAAAAAATACAAAAATTAGCTGGACATGGTGGCATGCACCTGTAGTCCCAGTTAGCCAGGAGTCTGAGGTGGGGGTTTGATTGAGCATGAGGTTGACGCTACAATTACTCCAGCCTGAGCCACAGAGTAAAACCCTGTCACACACACAAAAAAAGATTGCAGCTTTCTGAAGGCTTAGATGACTGTTAGCACTTGTTAACAATAAAGTATTTGTAAATTAAAGTATGCACACTTTGTAGTCATATGCTATTGCACACTTTATACAGCACAGTATAAACATACTTTTACATGCACTGGGAAACCAAAAGAAATTGTATAACTCGATTTATTGCAGTGGTCTGGAACCAAACCCACATATATCTCTGATGCATGGCTGTCTTGTATTGTACACTTCTTAAAAAAAAAACTTAAGAGGGTATATTTTAGGTGAAATGGTCATCTCATTTTTTTTTTGAGATGGAGTCTCGCTCTGTTGTCCAGGCTGGAGTGTGGTGGCACGATCTCGGCTCACTGCAAGCTCTGCCTCCCGGGTTCACACCATCATCCTGCCTCAGTCTCCCGAGTAGCTGGGACTACAGGCGCCCGCCATCACGCCCAGCTAATTTTCTGTATTTTTAGTAGAAACTGGGTTTCACTGTGTTAGCCAGGATGGTCTTGACCTCCTGACCTTGTGACCCACCTGCCTTGGCCTCCCAAAGTGCTGGGATTACAGGTGTGAGCCACCGCTCCCTGTCTCATTTTTTAAAAAGAGTGAGAATGAGAAATATATGGGAAGTGATGGTCAAGTTTACGGCATTACTTGTTGTGATGAGTCCTGGGGCGAATACTTATCTCTAAACTCATTAAGATGTATATATTCGGTGTCACACGCCTGTAATCCCAGCACTTTGGGAGGCTGAGGCAGGTGGATCATCTGAGGTCAGGAGTTCGAGACCAGCCTGGCCAACATGGTGAAATCCTGTCTCTACTAAAAAAATACAAAAATTAGCTGTGCGTGGGGGCGCACGCCTGCGATCCCCGCTACTCAGGAGGCTGAGGCAGGAGAATTGCTTGAACCCGGGAGGTGGAGGTTGCAGTTAGCTGAGATCGTGTCACTGCACTCCAGCCTGGGCAAAAAGAGTAAAACCTCTGTCACACACATACACACACACACAAAAACACATAAGGTGTATATTAAATATGTGTAATTTTTGTATGTCAACCACACCTTAGTTTTATTTTATTTTATTTTGAGACAGAGTCTTGCTCTGTCACCCAGGCTGGAGTCCAGTGGTGCAATCTCGGCTCACTGCAAGCTCCACCTCCCAGTTTCACACCATTCTCCTGACTCAACCTCCGGAGTAGCTGGAACTACAAGCACCCACCAACACGCCCGGGTAATTTTTTGTATCTTTAGTAGAGATGGCGTTTCACCATGTTAGCCCGGATGGTCTCGATTTCCTGACGTGATCTGCCTGCCTCAGCTTCACAAAGTGCTGCGATTACAGGTGTGAGCCACTGCACCCATGCAATTTTTATTTTTTTGAGACAGAGTCTCACTATGTCACCCAGGATGGAGTGCAGTGGCACTATCTTGGCTCACTGCACCTCTGCCTCCCATGTTCAAGCAATTCTCCTGCCTTAGTCTCCCGAGTAGCTGGGACTACAGATGCTTGCTATCACGTCTGACTAATTTTTTGATTTTTAATAGAGATGAGGTTTCACCATGTTGGCCAGGCTGGTCTCAAACTCCTGACCTCATGTGATCTGCCCACCTCAGCCTCCCAAAGTGCTGGGATTACAGGTGTAAGCCACTGCACCTGGCAATTTTTAAATATATATAATTAAAAATTAATAAAAAACAGGTATTTGCAAGTTTCCGTTTTGTTGTATGCTTATTATTCTTTATCTTTATGTCAGGTTGCTGTGTCAATACACTTAGGAGATCACAGTTTCTAAATTGAAATACATATAAATATGTCTGAAATTTTTTTTCTTTTTTTTTTGAGATGGACTTCCGTTCTGTCACCCAGGCTGGAGTGCAGTGGTGCAATCTCAGCTCACTGCAACCTTCGCCTCCCAGAATCAAGTGATTCTCCTGCTTCAGCCTCCAGAGTAGCTGGGATTACAGGCACCCGCCATGACACCCGGCTAACTTTTATATATATATTTTTTATTTTTAGTAAAGACAGGGTTTCACCATGTTGGTCAGGTTGGTCTCCAACTCTTGACCTCAGATGATCCACCCACCTCGGTCTCCCCAAGTGCTGGGATTACAGGTGTGAGCCACTGTGCCTGGCCTGGATTTTTTTTCTAAAATTTACATTTCTGAGTTAAGAATGCTCAAAATATTATAAAAACAGAAGCACAATTCATTATGTGTTTCATTAATTACCTTTATTAAAAACAACACAATTATATTACAATAGGACAAAAAAATATTCAAGCAAATGAAAACAAAACCATGACATACCCAAACTCAGGAGAAGGCAACAAAGGCAGTGCTAAAGGGAAGCTTACAGCTGCAGTTGCTTAAATTAAAAAGAAGAAAGATCTGAAACACATGCTAAAGGGAAGCTTACAGCTGCAGATGCTTAAATTAAAAAGAAGAAAGATCTCAAACCCATGCTAAAGGGAAGCTTATAGCTGCAGATGCTTAAATTAAAAAGAAGATCTCAAACCCATGCTAAAGGGAAGCTTACAGCTGCAGATGCTTAAATTAAAAAGAAGAAAGATCTCAAATGAATAACCTAACATTACACTTGTAGGGGAAAAAAAAACTAATGACAAACCAAGCAAAAGGAAGAAAATAACAGATTAGAGCAGAGATAAGCAGAATAAGACCAGAAAAAAAGGAAAAAAAAACACACTGAGTTTGTCTTTTTAAAGATCAATAAAAATTTTAAAACTCACAGCTATATTAAGGAAAAAGAGAAATCTCAAATACTAAAATCATAAATAAAAGAAGTGACACTACAACAGATGCCACAGAAATGAAAAAGATTACAAGAGACTAATGTGAGCAACCATATGCCACAAAACTGGGCAACCTAGAATAAATTTATAAATTCCTAGAAACACAAACCACCATACTGCATCACGGAGAAATAAAAAATCCAAAGAGACCTGTAACTAGTACGAAGATTCAACCAGTAATCAAAAACCCCCCAAAAAAGCAAATTCCAGGTCCAGATAACTTCACTGGAGAATTTTACCAAACATTTCAAGAAGAATTAATGCCAATCCTCTGCAAAATATTTCAAAAATGTTTAAAAACCAGAAGGGGACATTCCAATCCATTCTATCAGGTCAACATTTATCTGGTTCCAGAGCCAGATGAACACCTTTTGTAATAAAAACACTCAAAGAATTAGTAATATATGGAAACTCCTCAGTAAATAAAGATTATACATGAAAAGCTTACAGCTAACATCATACTCAATGGTGAAAAACTAAAATCTTTTCCTCTAGGATCAGGAATAAGATAGCTACATCCCTTCCTGCCACTTCTATTCACCACAGTACTGGAATTTCTACTCAGAATAATTAGGCAAGATAAAGTAATAAAAAGCATGCAAATTGGAAAGGAAAAAGTACAAAATTTTGTTCACAGACAACAGGATGTAATGATAAAAATCCTGAAATTCCACAAAATACTGGTAAAATAATGAAATTCAACAAAGTTTCAGGATACAGTAACACACACATGTCAGTTGCATTTCTATAAACAAACAATGAACAATCTGCAAATAAAATTTTAAAAAGAGAGGCCAGGTGCAGTGGCTCACACTTATAATCCCAGCACTTTGGGAGGCCAAGGCAGGTAGACCACCTGAGGTCAGGAGTTCATGACCAGCTGGGCCAACCCCATCTCTAATATAAATAATAAAACTCTGTCTCTATTTAAAATACAAAAATTAGCTGGGCGTAGTGGCAGACACCTGTAGTCCAAGCTACTTGGGAGGCTGAGGCAGGAGAATTGCTTGAACTTGGAAGTTGGAGGTTGCAGTCAGCTGAGGTTGTGCCACAGCGCTCCAGCTTAGGAAACTGAGTGAGACGCCGTCTCAAAGAAAAGAAAGAAAGGAAAGAAAGAGAGACAAAGAAAAGAAAAGAAAGAGAAAACAAAAGAAAATAATTTTTTAGAAAGAATGACATTTGGCCGGGTGCAGTGGTTCATGCCTGCAATCCCAGCAGTTTGGGAGGCCGAGGCGGGCAGAGCACCTGAGGTCACAAGTTCAAGACTAGCCGGGTCAACATGGAGAAACCCTGTCTCTACTAAAAATACCAAAAAATTAGCTGCGTGTGGTGGCACACACCTGTGATCCCAGGTACTTGAGAGGCTGAAGTTGGAGAATCGCTTGAATAAAGAAGGCGCAGGTTGCAGTGAGCTGAGATAGTGCCACTGCACTCCAGCCTGGGAGAAAGAACAAGACTCCATCTCAAAAAAAAAAAAAAAAAAAAGAATTACATTTACAACAGCATTATAAAAATTAGAAATAAGCTTAACCAAGAGTGCAAAAGATTTGAACAGAGTAAACTACAAAACACTGTTGAAAGAAATTAAACACAAATAAATGAAAAGAAAAGCTGGGTTTGCAGATTAGATGATTTCATCTTGGAATGATGTCAACACTACTCGAAGTGACCTAGATTCAATACAATCCTTATACAGATTCCAATGACATTTTTGATAAACAGAAAAACCTATCCTAAAATTCATATGGAATCTCCAGGGCCCATGAATAGGCAAATCAATCTTGAAACAGAACAAAATTAAATGTCTCAAAACAATTACAAAACTGCAATAAGCCAAAAAAAATGTGGTCATGGCATAAAGACACACTTGACACACTTATGGACCAACACAACAGAGACCTCAGAAACCAACCCTGGCATATATGGTCCGATGATCTTCCACAAGGAAGCCAAGACCACTCAATGGTGAAGGACAGTTTCTTCAACAAATGGTGTTGGGAAAATTGTATATCTACATTCAAAACAATGATGTTGGACTCTTACCTTACACCACGTTAAAATTAATTCAAAGTGAATTATAAACCTAAATGTAAAACTACAACTATCAAACTCCTAGGGAAAACAAATTTGGAAAATGCTTTATGACGATGAATTTGTCAATATTTTTTAGGATATGACATTAAAAGCTCAGGCAGTAAAAGCAAAAATATATCAAACTTAAAAACTTCTGTACCTCAAAGGTCACAACAAACAGGGTAAAAGGCAAACTGTAGAATAAAAGAAAATACCAGTTGAGTGTCCCTTATTTGAAATGCTTGGGATGTGTTTCAGATTTTGTAATATTTGCATTATTCTTACTGGTTTAGCATCTCGAATTCAAACACCTGAGTCTGAGATGCTCCAATAAGCATTTCCTTTGAGTGTCATGTTGGCACTCAAAAAGTTTCAGACTTTGGAGCATTTGGGATTTCAGATTTTTGGATCAGAGACATTCAATCTATAGTTGCACATCATGTATCTCATAAGAAGTGAACATACAGAATACGTAAAGAACTCCTACAGAGAGACTACCAGAAGCAGAAAGGAGCAAACACATTTTCATACTAGGGCACCTCCTATCTCTCCTGGATTCCAATTAGGGCAGAGTAAGTGCTTGTTCTCTGCCAACCCAGGATTAGGCCCTGCAGCTGCAGTGAAAATAATCACAGAAGAAAACTAAGAAATAAAAAATGGAGAAAGTGAGACATCAAACTAAAATTACTAGAAACCCCCAGGAAGAAGGAAAAAGAAACCAAGAAAACAGAAAAACAATCAAACCAGTTAAATAAACCTTGGCATGACCAGAAGATCAGAGTTTCCTAAAGGAGTGGAAATTTATTGATTACTGATTTGAAGAGGAAGAAAAACCATGAATGGTCTAAAGCAAAAGCCTAGTGTCTGAAGAAGTCAGTAGGGTGAAAACAAGAGCTGGCCAGAATGTCCACAGATGGTGACAAGTTTGCAAAGCCTTTACTAGACTACTCATGAGGCTAACTAGAGGCCAAGGAGCCAACACTGCCCCTGTCCTTACAGACAGACCCTACACAGGATTCCCAGATATACATGGAAGGACAACATCTTATCAGATCCTCTCTGTGCAGATGTGGTTATCATTCCAAATAATGAGCTCCAGCCCCAAGACTGTTCTATCCTCAATTGCTTTGAGTGGGCAATGTAGGCTCTCCACACACGAGCTACATGTAAGTTCCTTGGGTAACCAGATGGGAGCTGTGAAACAAAAACCCTCCATGTTCAGGTCCGTATCTGTTTCCTGCCTTTTTCTCAGCAATCCCCAGGCCGCAGCAGCAGTGGTCTACCTCTGCCGATTCTTATTCAGAATCTAAACTTAGAAACAATTAGAACCTAGACCCCAATTCTACCTGAAAGTAACAGAATAACATAATCTGTACCCTGCAGCATGACTGTTTGCCCAACGTATTGAGGATGAACTGAGAGATAATGAATGACCATGACCCTGGCCCAAGTAACAAGAATGAACTGTGAGATAAATGAATGATCATAACCAAAAAACCCCGCTACAACCCAACAACAAAATAAAGTGATTAAGAAATGGACAAAGAACATTTATCCAAAGATACAAAGATGATATACAAATAGCCAACAGATACATGAGATATATGAGAAGATGTGTAACATCACTAGTCATTAGAGAAATGCAAATAGAAACCACAAAGGGACATCACTTCAAACCCAACAGAAAGTAACAAGTGCAGGTGAAACTGAAACCCTTGAACACTGTTGGTGGAAATATGAACTGGCTTCTCAAAAAAAAATAAAATAAAATGACCATATGATCCAGCCATCCAACTTCTACAGAGACAGAATAACTAGTAGCAGGACCTCAAACAGATATGTGCACACCTATGTTCACAGCAGCATTACACAGCCACAAGGTGGAAGAAACCAAAACGTCCCTCCGGGAATAGATGGATAAACAAAAGGATATATATATAGAAAATATATATATATAGAAAATATATATATAGAAAAAAATATATATATATGAAGAAATATTATTCAGCCATAGAAAGGAAGAAAATCCTGACACATCTGACACATAATATGGAACCTACTTACAAAACAACAAATATTACATAACCCTAGGTATATAAGCCGAATTTTTAGAAACACAAAATAGAATAGTACTTGCAGGAGGTGGAAGGAGGGGGAAATTAATAGTTGTTAAATGGGTATAGAGTTTTCCAAGATAAAAATCTAGAAATCTGCTACACAACACTGTAAATATTCTTAACTCTACAAAACTGTATACTTACAACTTGTTATGATGGTAAATTTTAAGGTATGTATTTGTTACCAAAATTCTAAATAATAAATTATTTATAAAAAAATGAACTTTTTTGACACAGGATCTTACTCTGTTGCCCTGGCAGGAGTGCAATGGCATGATCACAGCTCATTGCAGCCTCAACCTCTCAGGCTCAAGCAACCCTCCTACCTCAGCCTCCCGAATAATTGGGACTACAGGTGCACACCAAGATGTCAGGCTAAATTTTGGTTTGGTTTTCTTGTAGAGAGGGTTTTGCCATGTTGCCCAGGCTGGTCTCAACCTCCTGGGCTCAAGCAATCCACCTCCTTTGGCCTCCCACAGAGCTGAGATTACGAGCATAAGCCTCCATGCCCAGCCTATAAAAAATTATTTCAAAAAGCCAAAAGATTAATCAAACTGGAATATTTAGAAATATTTAACCCAAAAGAAGTTAGGAAAGAACACATAGAAGATCAAAAGACAGACGAAGGCCAGGCATGGTGGCTTATGCCTGTAATCTGAACACTCTGGGAGGCCAATGTGGGTAGATTGCTTGAGCTCAGGAGTTCAAGACCAGTCCGTGCAACATGGCAAAACCCTATCTCTACAAAAAATATAAAAATTAGCCAGGTGTGGTGCCATGTACCTGTAGTCCCAGCTACTCAGGGGTCTCAAGTGAAGATTGGTTGGGCCTTGGAGGCAGAGGTTGCAGTGAGCCAAGATTGCACCATTGCACTACAGTCTGGGTGACAGAGCAAGACCTTGTCTTAAAAAAAATAAACAAATAGAAAATAAGTAGAAAAATGGCAGACCTAAATCCAACCTTAGCAATGATTAGTTACAATGTAACTGGACAAATACTCTACTTAAGACAGAGACTGCCAGACCTGAGAGGAAAGCAAGACCCAATAATATGGCATCCACAGAGACACAATTTAAACACAAAGACACAAAGTATGAGAAAAAATATGCTATGCAGACACTAATCATAAAATTATGCTATCCAGACACTAGTCATAAAAAGCTTCAATGGAGATGTTAACACTAGATGAAAGAGGCTTCAGAATAAAATATATCACCAGAAATAAACAGGCTAATTTCATAAAAATAAAAGAATCAGAGAGGATGATGTTACAATTATAAATTGTGCCTCAAAGTGCACACAAAGTACACACACTCACAGAGCCTCAAAGTATGTGAATCAAAAACAACAGAACAAAAGCAGGAAATTGACAATCCAAAATTATAGCTGGTGAATTAATACTGCTCCCTCAGTAACTGACAGAACAACCAGATAAAAATATAGGAAAAATACGGATCTAAATGACAAAATCCTGACCCAAATGGTACTTGGCAGTACCAAGTTAGACTGTATGTCGATCGATTGAGGAAAGGTTCAAGCCTGAAATAGTATACAAAGTATGTTTCTCTGAACACTTGAAATTAAATTAGAAACCAACAACAAATTGATATCCAGAAAAGCCTCAAATGTCTGAAAACCAAGTAATAAACTTTGAAATATCCTGTGAGTCAAAAAAGTATTCACAAGGGGAACTGGAATGTATTTGGAACAAAGTTTTTATAAAAATCACATTTCAGGTAGACTAAAGGTGACAACTTCTTTCCTGCTCCTGTCTCTGTGAGAACCAATTCCCCTTAAACCTTGCCCAGACTACTGACTTATTTGGCCAACAGAAGGTGACAAAGGTGGTATTTGGGGACTTCAGAAGCCAGGCTGAGAAAACAGAACACTTATTCAGGAGAAAGCCAGTCACCAGGCAGGAAATCCCACTCCCCTGAGACCCCATGATGGAAACAACACGGCCAGTCCATGACTAGCTACACGCATTGACATCCCTCACTGAGCCTCCAGCAACACCGACTCCCAACCACTAGTGAGCCTCCAGCAACATCCACTCCCAACCACTAGTGAGCCACCCTGCACACCACCCGCTGTGCTTTCACACAATCCAGCTTGGCTGCAACTGTGTGTGAGATGAGCTGGCCACCAAGACTCTCTAAGCCAAAAAACAAGTAATAATGAGTTGTTTTAAGCTGCCAAGTTTTGGGGATGGTTTCTTCAGAATAGATAACTGGAACAGAATATGGCAGCTGGAAATGAGCCACTGTAGTAATCAGAAGCTACAATATGTGCCACGACTGTGAGGCTGACCTGTAACTGGGCCTCAAGGAGACCATTCATGCAACCTGGAAGGGCATCAAGACTCTTGGTCAGGGCCTGAAGGACTGTGAGAAAATGTCATTGGAAACTGGAGAAAAGGCCTGAGAGTTACGTGCTGAGGGACTGTGAGAAAACTACGGCCACAACATGGAAACTGAAAGGGCACTGCACCATCTCAGGGATCTGCCTAAGGAGACATCTGGGAAGAACATGGAAAGTGCTACAAGCCTCCCTTAACTGTCACTGAATAAATATGACAGGAGAGGGACATGATCTAAAGAAGGAGGTTCAGTTTTCAAACAGAATTTAGAGAAAATATAAAGAAATAATTTCTTGTCTCAAAAGGCCAAAGTAAAAAAAAAAAAGAAAAGAAAAGGGAAAAAAAATGAAAAAGAAGCCAATGAGTACCCTATTGACCATAAGAAAGAGGCAGAGAAATTTGGTCAACGGCAACACAGGCAATGAAGGAAAAAGAACATGGAGAATGACAAAAGCCCAGAGGGAGGAGTAAAAGGACACAAACGCCGTTCTCAGGGACCAGGACTGGGCGCGGTTCTCAGGGACCAGGACTGGGCACTAATCACAGAACTGTAACAGGCGCCCCATGGGAATGACCAACTGTTAGACGGGGCCTGCAGGGCAGCACCTCCCTCCTACCTCCCACCAACAGCTTCTAAAGGGAAATGCCGACTGTTTTCACACCACTCCCCTCACTGCGGTTGAGTGTGTGGGTGCAGATGATAGGTCACAACAACCTGATTCAGTCCTCACTGCGGCTGAGTGTGTCGGGCGCAGATGACAGGCCACCACAACCTGATTCAGTCCTCACTGTGGCTGTGTGTGTGGGTGCAGATGACAGGCCACCACAAACTGATTCAGGATTCAGTTGGGCTACCAGCCAGTGCCATAAGGAAAACCATTCTGGGGCTCTTGAGAGGGGCAAAGAATAATTTGCATGTGGGAGAAGCGTTAATAGTTTGTGGCCAGAGGACAAGCTGTGGTTTATTAAAGACTGCTGCAGGTTCCTACTATGCTTCTCATCAAGAGGTGGAATCTAATCACCTATCCCCCTTGAATCATGGCTGGTCTCAGTGATGAGTACAACTGGACATTGTGGCAGGAGGGATGCTCTGGGACTTTTGAGGGGCAATCATGAGAGGCCTTACAGCTTTTGCCTGGGCCTCTTGGACACACACCCTGGGAGAAGCCAGACAAACCTGACTACCTGACGCTGCCAGACTGGAAGGAAGTCCGTGCTGGCCACAAAGAGAGGGTTGGGTGCCTGCTCCATATCCCCAGCCACTAGAGTCCTTCCAGATGAGACCAGGGACATCATGAAGCAGCCAACCCACACCGCTCTCTCCAGTGTCTTGACCCAGAAAATTGTGACATGGAAAAAGAATAAATTCCTGGTTTAAGCCAGTAAGGTTACTGGTACGTAGTTACATCACAGATAATTAAAACCTTGAAAAACTCATGAGAGATCACAAGTAGAACCTTGATCTGAAACATGGCATGTGGCGATTTATATTGAGTATTAGGTTAAAAATGCAAGAATGGAGCATAGTTAATATTTTACTTTAAAGCTAAAACTATAATTGCCTACTTAAAATTTTCAGTTAATTAGTTTGTCACTTTTGTTCTTAACCAGGAAATCAACTAGTTTTAGTCCATAAACAGTTACAACTGATGCACACATCCATTTTTCCTTACTCATTTTAAGCAGCTATCTGAAATAGGAAGTGTAATATCATCTTTAAAGAATCTGAAAACATGACAGAAATGTTTAAACTATAAACATATATTGTATATGTTAGCATATTGTATACATTGCATATTAACATAAGCTAGAATCATTGACATAAATTTATATAAACAAAAGGTAGAAAATATGACAATGTTCTTCTTGTTTTTTGTCTTTGCATATTTCTTTACTGGCCCTTGTCAAACGTGACCCACTAACTCTGGAATGCTTTCTCTTTCCCCATGGATTCCTAAGGATGTCACCACAGTGCTGGCCAGATGCACAGGTCACAGGGGACTGAACCTCGTCACCCCACAAACACACCATTCAGGTTTTGCCAAGAATGACACGGTAAATGTAACAAAGCTGCCGTGCTTGTTAGTGAACACCAACTCAGCTCCTCTCCTGTATTCGGAAATCAGGATGAGATGAAAACAACAAGCAGGCCAGGCACGGTGGCTCATGCCTGTAATCCCAGCACTTTGGTAGGCCGAGGCGGGCAGATCACCTGAGGTCAGGAGTTCGAGACCACCCTGATCAAAACAGTAAATCCCATCTCTACTAAAAATACAAAATTAGCCGGGCGTGGTGGCAAAAGCCTGTAATACCAGCTACTCAGGAGCTGAGGCAGGAGAATTGCTTGAATCTGGGAGGTGGAGCCTGCAGTGAGCTGAGATCACACCACTGAGCTCTAGCCTGGGCAACAAGAGTGAAACTTTGTCTCAAAAGAAAAAAAATTAAAAATAAAAGAACAAAGAAACAAAAGTAACAAGGCTTGACACCAGATGAGCCTGAATGTAAGCAAGAAAAGCCCAGAAGAAATCCTATTTTGGGTCACTGGCTCATGGTAGTAATACCATACACAGAAGGGAAGAGAGAAGGATATGGCTTTCACTTTGAATTTTTTGAGCTTAAGGTAAATTTTGGATAGCTACAAAGAAGCATTCAACAGAGTGTTAAACCTATGATGGAAAGAATAAGAGGTCCAAGCTGTAGAGAAACAGGACTGCAAACCACAAAGGGTTGAATCAGTCAAGGAGAACTGCAGGGCGGGATGAACAGTGACCAACGGAACATTTGGATAAGCTGTTGAGAAGAAAGGAGAATTCAGAGAAAAAGAACTGTCAGTGAGGTCATAATAGGAACTATTACAGTGAACTAAATATGACCTGGGAAGGACTCCGTACTTCTAGATTTGAGTCCCTGTGGGCAAACTGCAACCTAACTTAATAGGTAGAAAGACTGAAAACCTAACTTAGGAGTATGCACCTGTAACTATAGCTGAGTCCTGGCCAATCCCAACAGCCAAACTTCTGCCACTCACACACGGCTGAGTGTTCAGCTGTGTTCAAATAAGGCAAATGCTGAGCACTGTAACCAGTCCAGTTGTTTCTGGACCTCACTGCTGAGAACTGTAACGGACCCAATTGCTTCTGGACCTCACTCCTCACTTCAGATTTCTGTACATCAGGTTCCCTTTATTGTCTATAAATCTTCCACCATGTAGCTGTGCTGGAGTCTCACTGAATCTGCTGTGATTCTGGGGCTGCCTGATTCGTGAATCATTCATTGCTCAATTAAGTTCCTTTAAATTTAATTCAGCTGAAGATTTTCTTTTAATAGATGGTGTCAGAAGTGGGATCTGTGGGAGCAGGACTGCTAGGGCCTCCAGAGCTATAGTGTGGTGAGCAGTGTTGCTAGGGCTTCTAATGACCCCAAGGAGTGCTGAGGTACAAGAAAGGCACCTGCAAGGACCGCATTGTGATGCCAGCAGTGGCCCACGTGGAGCAGTTGCTACGGAGACACTGGCTGCAGTGGGGAGGAATGGCTGGGCCTGTGCACTCCTCGAAGCTGGTGGGAGCCAGGAACAGGTGGGAGCCCCACCCCTTCTAAATTGGCAGGCAGGAGCCCCACCCTCCCAGGCACAGCTGCAGCCATCCAGCCATGACTGCAAACCCAGGCATCTTTGCACTCTCAGAGGCCCAGCAAGCCCCCCTGCCACCACAGGCTCAGTTGTACCTGGTCCCACCACCTGGCGTCTCTCTGCTCCCAGAGCCCACTCCAACTTCAGATCCAAGTTAAGGCTGAACCCGGCACAGTCACAACCCAGCCCGGTTTGTGCAAGCTCAGGGCAGTGCTGACATGCCAGCCCCCTGCCACCTCAGCCCCTTCCAGACTTTGGGCACTGACGAGCACAGGAGGGAGGTTGAGGTGGGGCTAAGAGTGGCTCAGCACTGGCCTGAAGGCACTCCTCAGCTCGAACAGCTTGGGCACTGTGGGCACAGCTACCCACTGTGCGTCTCTCTCAGCTGCTGAGAGCTGAACAGATGTTGGGATGACCTGCCTGCAGAAAGGAGCTACCCACTGCAGGTCTCCTCTGAGCTGTACTGTTACTCAATAAAGCACCTCTTCACCTTGCTCACCTTCTACTTGTCCACATACCTCATTCTTCCTGGACTCAGGACAAGAACTCAGGACCTGCCAACTAGCAGGGCTGAAAGAGATGTAACATAAACAGGGCTGAAACGCACCCCTTGCTTGCCAAATTGTAGGCAAGAAGAAGAGAAGAGAGAAGGAGAGAAGAGCTGTGGCCTTTCAGGGATCCCAGACATAGGAACTCCCCAAGCCAGAGCTGTGACACCTTCTTTGGGGCTCTGCAGTTCCTGCATCTCCAAGCTTCCGGGTGCCACTGCATTCCCTGATACCCACAGTGGAAGCTGTTTGCAGTCGGCCTGGTCCAGCTGCAGCCTCACAGGGAGCTGGAACCTGTGCCGGTGCCTGGAGCTGCCCACTCCACTGCAGCTGGCATGCTTGGCTGTGTGCAGTGGCCAGATCCCATGCTCGCTTGCTCACACACCCTTCACTGCTCTGTACCCAGTTTACCCTTGGCATGTGTGGGATCCAGACCACTAGCATGAGCCGAGTGGACAGAACAAACCCAGTGGGCCCGAGCAAAACACAGGAAAAAGCACCACCAGCCAGAGGTTTCAGGCAGAAAAGTGTTGCCTCAGGATTCTGTAACACTTGTGCCCTTTGACCTCTCGGAGCAGCTGGGGATCATGGTAAATTCTCTCTCGGAATTCAGAGCTCCATGGATTTGTGTTTTGAGCTCTGAGTTTCTTTGAGCAAATTTCTGTTCCAAACTGCTATCCAGCCATGACTGGCTGGATGTTTTAGAAGTTATAACAGAAACGGGACCGGGTCCAGGATCAGATTTCATCCAGTAGTTAACTGGCTTGAATCCAGTTCCAGTTAGAGGCCTCCTACATCTGAATGGGTCAGAAAGAAAGTGGTAATAAATGATAATATTGGAGGGTTGTAAAATTTGGCTTTTGAAAATTCACGGGGATTTTTGTGTTCTACACCTTTGTTTCATTTTCCTCGCACGCTTAGGTAGGAAAAAAAAAAATTGGCTAAGTCAATCAAGGGAACCTGGGAGTAAAGCCAATATATTAGGTAAAAATAGGATCCTTAATTTCTGGAAAACTAAGCTCCTTCTGGCTAATTCATTAGGCCTGGGAAGCAGCAAAGTCTTACAGAAATGGCAAAATCTTACTAAAGATAACTTACAGTGGAACATTCCAAATGAATAATGCCCTGGAATGCATTTAAAAATGAGGCCTCCAAAATTAGTCTCATCTAGGGATGCCTATTAATATGCAGAAGCTTCTAAAAAGATTTAGAGATGGCACGGCCTATCTGGGAGCAAGTTTGAGTCTTACCAGTTTGACACTGGGTGCTGAGCAAAGTGGCTCGTGTCTATGTTTTGTCACATGTATTTTGCTCTGGGCAGAATGAAAAATGTTAATTTGGTTACTCCAAGCAACCCCTTGGGCAGCATCTTGCAAAGCTGAGTGGATTCTCCCTGTGTCTCCTTGATTTCCACTGTGATGCAGCTTGGCCCCCATAGCTATAATGTGCTGAGGAGGGTGACAGAGCAAGACGCTATCTTTAAAAAAAAAATGGCCAGAGGCAGCGGCTCATGCCTGTAATCCCAACACTTGGGGAGGCCGAGGCAGGTGGATCTCCTGAGGTCAGGAATTCAGGGCCAGCCTGACCAACAAGGAAAAACCCCGTGTCTACTAAAAACACAAAATTAGCTGGGCATGGTGGGGCATGCCTCTAATCCCAGCTACTCAGGAGGCTGGGGCAGGAGAATCGCTTGAACCTGGGAGGCAGGGGGTTGCAGTGGACCGAGGTCGCACCATTGCACTCCAGCCTGGGCAACAAGAGGGAAAATCCACCTCAAAAAAAAAAAATAATAGATTTGCCTATAAGGTTTTATGAAAAAGTGGGTGACATTTGGCTTTCTCTCTTTAAAGAAGATTTTCAGATAATATTAAAAAATAATGGTAGGAGGAGCCAAGATGGCCGAATAGGAACAGCTCCGGTCTACAGCTCCCAGCATGAGTGACGCAGAAAACGGGTGATTTCTGCATTTCCATTTGAGGTACTGGGTCCATCTCACTAGGGAGTGCCAGACCGTGGGTGCAGGAGAGTGGGTGAAGTGCACCATGCGCCAGCTGAAGCAGGGCGAGGCATTGCCTCACTCGGGAAGCGCAAGGGGTCAGGGAGTTAGTTCCCATTCCTGGGCAAGGAAAGGGGTGACAGATGGCACCTGGAAAATTGGGCCACTCCCACTCTAATACTGTGCTTTTCTGACGGGCTTAGGAAACGGCGCACCAGGAAATTATATCCTGCACCTGGCTTGGAGGGTCCTACGCCCATGGAGTCTCGCTGATTGCTAACACAGCAGTCTGAGATCAAACTGCAAGGTGGCAGCCAGGCTGGGGGAGGGGCACCCGCCATTGCCCATGCTCTCTTAGGTAAACAAAGCAGCCAGGAGGCTCGAACTGGGTGGAGCCCACCACAGCTCAAGGAGGCCTGCCTGCCTCTGCAGGCTCCACCTCTGGTGGCAGGGCACAGACAAACAAAAAGACAGCAGTAACCTCTGCAGACTTAAATGTCCCTGTCTGACAGCTTTGAGGAGAGCAGTGGTTCTCCCAGCACACAGCTGGAGATCGGAGAATGGGCAGACTGCCTCCTCAAATGGGTCCCTGACCCCTGAGCCCTGAGCAGCCTAACTGGGAGGCACCAACCAGTAGGGGAAGACTGACACCTCACATGGCCGGGTACTCCTCTGAGACAAAACTTCCAGAGGAACGATCAGACAGCAGCATTTGCGGATAACGAAATCCACGGTTTTGCAGACACCACTGCTGATATCCAGGCAAACAGGGTCTGGAATGGGCCTCTAGCAAACTCCAACAGACATGCAGTAGAGGGTACTGTCTGTTAGAAGGAAAACTAACAAACAGAAAGGATATCCACACCAAAAACCCATCTGTACATCACCATCATCAAAGACCAAAAGTAGATAAAACCACAAAGATGGGGAAAAAACAGAGCAGAAAAACTGGAAACTCTAAAAAGCAGAGTGTTTCTCCTCCTCCAAAGGAACGCAGTTCCTCACTAGCAATGGAACAAAGCTGGATGGAGAATGACTTTGACGAGTTGAGAGAAGAAGGCTTCAGACGATCAAACTTGTCCGAGCTACAGGAGGAAATTCAAACCAAAGGCAAAAAAGTTGAAAATTTTGAAAAAACTTTAGACGAATGTATAACTAGAATAACCAATACAGAGAAGTGCTTAAAGGAGCTGATGGAGCTGAAAGCCAAGGCTCGAGAACTAAGTGAAGAATGCAGAAACCTCAGGAGCTGATGCAATCAACTGGAAGAAAGGGTATCAGTGATGGAAGATGAAATGAATGAAATGAAGCAAGAAGGGAAGTTTAGAGAAAAAAGAATAAAAGGAAATGAAAAAAGTCTCCAAGAAATATGGGACTATCTGAAAAGACCAAATCTGCGTCCGATTGGTGTACCTGAAAGTGACGGGGAGAATGGAACCAAGTTGGAAAACACTCTGCAGGATATTAACCAGGAGAACTTCCCCAATCTAGCAAGGCAGGCCAACATTTAGATTCAGGAAATACAGAGAACGACACAAAGATATTCCTCGAGAACAGCAATTCCAAGACACATAATTGTCAGATTCACCAAAGTTGAAATGAAGGAAAAAATGTTAAGGGCAGCCAGAGAGAAAGGTCGGGTTACCCACAAAGGGAAGCCCATCAGACTAACAGCTGATCTCTCGGCAGAAATTCTACAAGCCAGAAGAGAGTGGGGGCCAATATTCAACATTCTTAAAGAAAAGAATTTTCAACCCGGAATTTCATATCCAGCCAAACTAAGCTTCATAAGTGAAGGAGAAATAAAATACTTTACAGACAACAAATGCTGAGAGATTTTGTCACCACCAGGCCTGCTCTAAAAGAGCTCCTGAAGGAAGCACTAAACATGGAAAGGCACAATCAGTACCAGCCACTGCAAAAACATTCCAAATTGTAAAGACCATCGAGACTAGGAAGAAACTGCATCAACTAATGAGCAAAATCAACAGCTAACATCATAATGACAGGAACATATTCACACATAACAATATTAACTTTAAATGTAAATGGACTAAATGCTCCAATTAAAAGGCACAGACTGGCAAATTGGATAAAGAGTCAAGACCCATCAGTGTGCTGTATTCAGGAAACCCATCTCACGTGCAGAGACATGCATAGGCTCAACATAAAAGGATGGAGGAAGATCTACCAAACAAATGGAAAACAAAAAAAGGCAGGGGTTGCAATCCTAGTCTCTGATAAAACAGACTTTAAACCAACAAAGATCAAAAGAGACAAAGAAGGCCATTACATAATGGTAAAGGGATCAATTCAACAAGAAGAGCTAACTATCCTAAATATATATGCACCCAATACAGGAGCACCCAGATTCATAAAGCAAGTCCTGAGTGACCTACAAAGAGACTTAGACTCCCACACAATAATAATGGGAGACTTTAACACCCCACTGTCAATATTAAACAGATCAACGAGACAGAAAGTTCACAAGGATACCCAGGAATTGAACTCAGCTCTGCACCAAGCGGACCTAATAGACATCTACAGAACTCTCCACCCCAAATCAACAGAATATACATTTTTTCAGCACCACACCATACCTATTCCAAAATTGACCACATACTTGGACGTAAAGCCCTCCTCTGCAAAGGTAAAAGAACAGAAATTATAACAAACTGTCTCTCAGACCACAGTGCAATCAAACTAGAACTCGGGATTAAGAAACTCACTTAAAACTGCTCAACTACATGGAAACTGAACAACCTGCTCCTGAATGACTACTGGGTACATAACGAAATGACGGCAGAAATAAAGATGTTCTTTGAAACCAACGAGAACAAAGACACAACATACCCGAATCTCTGGGACACATTCAAAGCAGTGTGTAGAGGGAAATTTATAGCACTAAATGCCCACAAGAGAAAGCAGGAAAGATCCAAAATTGACACTCTAACATCACAATTAAAAGAACTACAAAAGGAAGAGCAAACACATTCAAAAGCTAGCAGAAGGCAAGAAATAACTAAAATCGGAGCAGAACTGAAGGAAATAGCGACAAAAAAACCCTTCAAAAAATTAATGAATCCAGGAGCTGGTTTTTTGAAAAGATCAACAAAATTGATAGACCGCTAGAAGGACTAATAAAGAAAAAAAGAGAAGAATCAAATAGACACAATAAAAAATGACAAAGGGGATATCACCACTGATCCCTCAGAAATACAAACTACCATCAGAGAATACTACAAACACCTCTACGCAAATAAACTAGAAAATCTAGAAGAAATGGATAAATTCCTCCACACATACACTCTCCCAAGACTGAACCAGGAAGAAGTTGAATCTCTGAATAGAACGATAACAGGATCTGAAATTATGGCAAAAAATCAATAGCTTACCCACCAAAAAGAGTCCAGGACCAGATTGATTCACAGCCGAATTCTACCAGAGGTACAAGGAGGAACTGGTACCATTCCTTCTGAAACTATTCCAATCAACAGAAAAAGAGAGAATCCTCCCTAACTCATTTTATGAGGCCAGCATCATTCTGATACCAAAGCCGGGCAGAGACACAACCAAAAAAGAGAATTTAAGACCAATATCCTTGATGAACAAATTTACAAGAAAAAAACAAACAACCCCATCAAAAAGTGGGCGAAGGCTATGAACAGACACTTCTCAAAAGAAGACATTTATACAGCCAAAAGACCCATGAAAAAATGCTCATCATCACTGGCCATCAGAGAAATGCAAATCAAAACCACAATGAGACACCATCTCACATCAGTTAGAATGGCAATCATTAAAAAGTCAGGAAACAACAGGTACTGGAGAGGATGTGGAGAAATAGGAACAATTTTACACTGTTGGTGGGACTGTAAACTAGTTCAACCCTTGTGGAAGTCAGTGTGGCGATTCCTCAAGGATCTGGAACTAGAAATTACATCTGACCCAGCCATCCAATTACTAGGTATATACCCAAAGGACTATAAATCATGCTGCTATAAAGACACATGCACACATATGTTTATTGTGGCACTATTCACAATAGCAAAGACTTGGAACCAACCCAAATGTCCAACAATGATAGACTGGATTAAGAAATTGTGGCACATATACACCATGGAATACTATGCAGCCATAAAAAATGATGAGTTCATGTCCTTTGTAGGGACATGGATGAAACTGAAAATCATCATTCTCAGTAAACTATTGCAAGGAGAAAAAACCAAACACTGCATGTTCTCACTCATAGATGGGAATTGAACAATGAGAACACATGGACACAGGAAGGGGAACATCACACTCTGGGGACTGTTGAGGGGTTGGGGGAGGGGAGAGGGATAGCATTAGAAGATATACCTAATGCTAAATGACGAGTTAATGGGTGCAGCACACCAGAATGTCACATGTATACATATGTAACTAACTGGCACATTGGGCACATATACCCTAAAACTTAAAGTATAATAATAATAATAAAATAAAATAAAATAAAATAAAATAAATGAAAAATTTGTTTGCCTTGTAAACAAACTACCAAAAAGAAAAAAAAGGAAAAACAAGAGGCAGATCGTTTGTGAAGATAAGTCTTCCCTCTATCAATGAGTAAAGATTTTTGCCCTTTAAAAATGTTTAAAGTCGTGATTTTAGGTAAATGAATGACTTATGGTGACCTGGAAGTCTATTTCATAACATCAAGTGTTTAAACCTTTAATATATTTAATAGGCTTCCCAAAATCAAATTTCAACTTCAAAATTGTCTTTTCTGACCTCTAACTTTGGGATAAAGCAGAGGCCCCTGAAGCACCCAAAAGAGAGGTAAACAGGACTATTTAACATGTTAAGTCACATGGGTAGCACTGTCAAAATAAAAAATAATGTTGAACCTTCTTCAGTTGCATGTCATCAATCCATTCTAAAATTGTATAGGATTTCTAAAATTCTTGTGGGTTTTTTTGTTTTTTTTTTTTGTTTTTTTTTTTTTTGCTTTTTTTTTTTTGTTTTTTTTTTTCTGAGATGGAGTCTTGCTCTGTCACCCAGGCTGGAGTACAGTGGTGCAATCTCAGCTCACTGTAACCTCCGCCTCCTGGGTTCATGCCATTCTCCTGCCTCAGCCTCCCGAGTAGCTGGGCTGGGACTACAGGCACCCACCACCATGCCAGGCTAATTTTTGTATTTTTAGTAAAGACGGGGTTTCACTGTGTTAGCCAGGATGGTCTCAATCTCCTGACCTCGTGATCCTTCCACCTCGGCCTCCCAAAGTGCTGTGATTACAGGCCTGAGCCACTGCACCTGGCCAGGATTTCTAAAATTCTAATATGTCTATATGCTATCTATCATAATTACATGTTTTGTTTGTTTTGAGACAGAGTTTCACACTTGTCACCTAGGCTGGAGTGCAATGGTGTGATCTAGGCTCACTGAAGCCTCCATCTCCTGGGTTCAAGCGATTCTCCTGCCTCAGCCTCCCAAGTAGCTGGGATTACAGACATCTGCCACCACACCGGGCTAATTTTTTTATTTTTAGTAGAGACAGGGTTTTACCATGTTGGCCAGGCTGGTCTCAAACTTCTGACCTCAGGTGATCCACCTAACTTGGCCTCCCAAAGAGCTGGGATTACAGGCATGAGCCACCACATCCACCCTAATTATGGTTATTAAGTTATTGTAGACCACAGAAATAACCAAATTTCCTTGTCAATTGTCTTTAACTATAACTATTTAAAGTCATTTCCACAGTTAATTGCTTAATGGTGATGCAGTTTCTAAAAACTTCACAAGCATGCAAAATTCTAGAATATGGTGTCTCTTAGAAGATCCATGAAAGAATGAAAAGGACCCTGAGAAACACTCGTGAACACAGATTTCTAATAACTTTAATATCATGGGTAAAAATTCCCCATAAGTTCCCCGATACCCCAATAATTGGACTGGTTAAGAATTCTCAAAAGTTAGGCTGGGTGCAGCGGCTCACGTCGGCAATCCCAGCACTTTGGGAGGCCAAGGCCGGTGGATCACTTGAGGTCAGGAGTTTGAGACCAGCCTGGCCAATGGTGAAACCCCGCCTCTACTAAAAATACAAAAATTAGCCGGGTGTGGTGGTATGTGACTGTAATCCCAGCTACTCGGAAGGCTGAGGCAGGAGAATTGCTTGAACCCAGGAGGCGGAGGTTGCAGTGAGCCAAGATTGTGCCAATGCACTCCAACCTAGGTAACAGAGTGAGACTCTGTCTCAAAAAAAAAATCCCAAAAGTTTAAAAAAAAGACCAACTGGTTTATAAAACTGCCAACCCAAGTAAAACAAAAATTGTATACCAAGGAAATATTTTGCCACATTTGCATGCTAAATCACCAATATTGAAATTGTTTAGATATATAATTTAAATAAACTCCAAGGTCTAAGTCAAATTACCTATAACTACTCATCAGTTACCAGTGCCATGCACCTAATTTGGAGAAACAGCTGGTATTCAAGAGGATGTAAGTCTAATGTTAATTAAGCACGGACTTATGAAGAACCGGGATGGCCACCTTGTCCTTCTTAAGACCTTAAAACTTTTGTTATTAAAAGTTCTGCATTCCATAACTCATCATGGAAAGAGAAAATGATCCAAATTAAATATATTGGTGTGGTGATTTCTAAATTGCTAAAATAGTTTATAACCAATGTTTGGTTCGTCAAAGCTATATTTCTAGGAAAATAATCAAAACTTCAGGTATATTTGGTTACCTGATGGGCCATTTAAACATTTTATAAAGGGATTTCATTCAGTTGTCATTTTCAGTGCATGTTTTCTGATTGTATAAAAGCTCTTCCATGCAAGAGAGTTGATGTTAAAACAGTAGATTATTATGCTGAAGTATAATTTCACCAGCTAAAGAAAGCCTTTTATGGTTCACTGAGGACAGTCAACCCCTTCACAATCTAGAATCTGATGACTGGATCTTCTGAGAACATCAGAGAAGGACTGCCCTTGCCATCCACATGACAGCAAAACTTTAAAACCTTAAACTTTGGGTTCATAGTCTCACAACGCAGAAGGGTCCCTCCACACTCAGAACCATATACCCATTAGAACCCTTAAGGTAAAGCTAACAAGGACAGTTCCCCCCAGAAGAAGATGGCATCCTTAATGTGAACAGCTTTTCCCAAGATCACAGATCAAGACTTCTCTACTCTCATGAGACTCTTATCTTAATTATCTGTGCAGCTGCTAACACTTACAGCATGTGGAGAAAACATCAGGTATTATAAAGATTTGGTTGTGGGGAATTAACAAACAAACCCACTTAGTTAAGCAAGTAAACTCTTTATCTAATTCATTCTTTAATCTATTTGATTTTAGGTGGTTTGATTTATGGGGACCCTGAGTAAGGAGCATATACAAAATTATTGGTGTTATCCCAATAGTCATAAGAGTCTCCCTGGTGCACTGTACTTACTCAAATATTTTAAGAGTTTGCATGCAGCCATCTCTAAAATGTCAAATGGTATCTCTTCAACTGGAATGACAAGAGATTAAAAAAAATGTGCAACCATAAGGACACTGTAACCTATGAGTGACATGCTAAACCGGAAACCCAAATCAATGGGAGTGACATGCTAAACCAGAAACCCAAAACAATGGGAGAGATGTAGTAAAACTGGAACCCAAAACAATGGGTGTGACTTGCTAAAACCGGAACCCAAAACAATGGGAGTGATGTGCTAAAATCAGAACCCAAAACAATCGGAGTGCCCTGCTAAACCAGAAACCCAAAACAATGGGAGTGATGTGCTAAAACTGGAACACAAAACAATGGGAGTGACGTGCTAAAACCGGAAATGAAAACAATGGGAGTGATGTGCTTAAACCAGAACCTAAAACAATGGGAGTGACGTGCTAAAACAAAAACCCAAAACAATGGGAGTGACGTGCTAAACCTGGAAACCCAAAACAATGGGAGTGACATGCTAAAACCAGAACCCAAAAGAATGGGAGTGACATGCTAAAACCAGAACCCAAAACAATGGTAACTAAGAGTGATGCTAAGGCCCTACATTTTGGTCACACTCTCAACTAAGTGAGAACTTGACTGAAAAGGAGGATTTTTTTTCTAAGACAGAGTCTTGCTCTGTCCCCCAGAGTGGAGTGCAGTGGCACGATCTTGGCTTACTGCAAGCTCTGCCTCCTGGGTTCAGGCCATTCTCCTGCCTCAGCCCCCTGAGTAGCTGGGACTACAGGCAACCGCCACGATGCTTGGCAAATTTTTTGTATTTTTAGTAGAGACGGGGTTTCACCGTATTAGCAAGGATGGTCTCAATCTCCTGACCTCGTGATCTGCCCACCTCAGCCTCCCAAAGTGCTGGGATTACAGGTGTGAGCCACTGTGCCCAGCCAAAAGGAGGAATTTTTTAAGCAAAATTATGGGAGGCCATGGTTTTGAACTAAGCTCATGCAATAGGTCCCAACAGACCAAACCAAACCAAAATGGAGTCACTCATGTTAAATGTAACATAATCAAACTAAGACTTTAAGGAAACACATAAATCCTAGAACAAACCAGGTTTTGTTTTTCTCCTGTAAACAGGACGTTCCAGCATAAGAAGATACCTTCTACTCAAGTCCTTGTTCCACCTTTTCAAATCTCACTGGTCTATTTCCCAGTGGGTTTCTAAACCAAGTAAGTACATTTGCAATGGTAACAGTGACACCAGTGACTGAAGTTTTGGCCAATCTCTCAAAATTGAGAAAATAACCAAAGGGAAGGCATTGTTAAAGTGAACTAAGTATGGCCTGAGAAGGGCTCCATAATTCTATATATGAGTCCTTGTGGATGAACTGCAACCTACCTTAATAGGTAGATAAGAATGAAAAACTAACTTGAGAATATGCACCTGGAACAACAGCTACATCTTGGCCAATCCCAATGTCCAAACTTCAACCACTCAGGCACTGCCAAATGTTCAAACTGTGTTCAAACAAGGCAAACGCTGAGTTGTTTCTGTACCTCACTTCCGATTTTGGTATGCCTCTTCCCTTTTGTCTATAAATCTTCTTCCACCACATGACTGCGCTGGAGTCTCTGTGAATCTGCTGTGATTCTGGGGACTGTCCGATTCGTGAATTGTTTATTGCTCAATTAAACTCTTTTAAAGTTTTGCTTTTAACAGAACTAACACAGAAGAATTTCCAGATCATGAACAGACGTTTTGTAATACCCAACCTTGTATTAACATGAATAGACTCTTCCGTAGATAGCTAACTTTGTTTTTATTATGAATAGACTCTCCCTTAGCTGAGAAAACCAGACAAACTCCATTTGACTCCTTCATTTACAAGACATCAAGGGCTCCTTACCCACCCCCTTTCCTCAAGGACTTTAACTTGTGCAAGCTGATTTTCAACATATCAAAGAGTGCAATTAACTGACAAAGTGCTGAGGCAAGGGATGTCCCCAGTTCCCAGCAATTTACTCAGAGATAGTATCATAAAGCCCCCACATTTTTCTGGCAGATAATGCCCAGAGCCCCCTGACCTATCACTTTGTGGTGAATTTAAAGCCCCTGCACCTGGAACAGTTTGTTTTCCTGTAACTATCTCTCTTTTTAACTTTTTTGTCTGTTTTTTTCTTCTGTAAAGTTGCTGCAGCTAGAATTGCCCCTCCCCTCTCTAAACCAAAGTATAAAAGAAAATCTATTCCCTTCTTCAGGGCCGAGAGAATTTCGTGCGTTAGCAGTCTCTCAGTCACTGGCTAATAAAGGACTCCTGAATTCGTCTCAAAGTGTGACGTTTCTCTCTAACTCACTCGAGTACGACAGTTTCAACTATGGTAGAAGACTCGAGCAAGGCAAATACAGTCCCCTAAATTTGACTATTATTTAGGTTAATGGTGAGTTTAGAAGAAATAAGACTACACCGAATGGGCTAAAGTGCAAATAAACACTGGAAATATTTCCCAGAAAATATGACTTTGAACAGGCTGCTTCACACCCTGCATGTAGAGATAAACTAAGAAAAAGGTGTGGAGAGTTATTTAAGGACCTATGGTTAACTCAATCCTCAAGATGTTCCAGGTTTCATCCATGAATCAAGGAGGACCTCCCAAAAGCTGTTTGGGACCACACTCTTTGAGCAAGGAGCATACTTTACGATGGAAGCTGTGCTTTAGCGGCAGATGACCATTTCCACTGCACAACACTACAAGTGTTTACTGCCAGCCTGGTGTGAAATATGTTCCAGCACATAATCTATGTCACCAATGAAGGTGGTGTTTCAGACTTAGTGCACATAAGCTTTCCTGTCCCACAAGAACACAGCATGCTCTCTTCTCGGGTTCCATTCCAATCACATAACAAACATGACTGCCTTTTTTGTCTCGGCATCAGAAAGTTCAGAGGAAAATTTGCACTCAACTTAGACAACTCTAAGCTCTTATAACCTGCCTGTATCTATAGGTCAGCTTTAACTTATTTATGTATATTTTCTTCAAGCTGAATTTTACTTATTTCTACTTTTCCTTTTTAATTCACAGACACCCATAAACTCAGAAAATACAGTGTAAAACAAAATGAAGAACAAATAAACAACTCACCAGAGATTTATTCGTTTCTTATTGCTCTTGGAAACACCCACAGGACACTGGAAACATAGCTGGGAGAGAAGACAAATGACGTGGATTAAGGAGAGAACTGGTGTGGTGTGGTCCAATATTCTTCTGCCCAACACTCTAGACACATTACCTGGGAAAGCCCTCCTCCCTCCTGAAAAAGAAAAACTTCCCCGTGGGAGAAGAGTCCTTCACGCCCCATTAGGGGCAGCAAAGACTCAAGTTAAGATGAGATACATCTACAAGTACATTAACTGGTAGACATTAGATGCACAATTTATTTTTGAATAAAAATATGTATTACCTACTAATTTAGCAACAATATTACCTAAATATATAATCTAATAATTTAATACAAAGAAACATTATAAGTTCACTAAAATAAATGTTATAGCAATATACTGGGCTGTATTAACTATTTTCCTATTAATATGTGGATTCCACATATAACTTCATATGAGTGTTCCCATGACAGTACATCTTGCTTTTCTATACCTGAACATCATGGAAAGTGCATCTTGCAAACCAGCAATTTTTGCCTACAATTATGTTTTTTAAAATGTACATAATATGTACTTCCTGCAGTACGCCATTCTACTCATGTTTCCCAATAACACCTTTCATTCTATCCATGCCCTCATATTATGCTCTGACAATAAATTGGGCTTTTCCATCTGACTTGTCCAGTGAATGGACAATGGAAAATGTGATGCAAATATCCATTGGTTCTTGCCATTTTGGACACAGTCATACTGTAAAGAGGTCTGGAGCTACCCTGTTGGAGACACAGGGCCTAGCCAAGAGTCACCACAAACCACCAGATTGTGAAGGAAACTATCTTAAAACAACCAGGCTCAGTTAAAGCACCAGGTGACTAAGGGCTCTTCTGTGATCCAGGCAACACAAATATATCAACTACCCAGCTGAACCCACCACACCAAAATGCAGATCCACAGAACTTCAAACAAATAAAATGGTGGTTGTTTTTTATAAACCAGTAAGGTTTAATTAGTTCCTTAAACAGCAAGTATTAACTGTTACACCTAAGTGAACAGAATTCACTTCTGTGTTTTTAACAAAATTACGTAGGGGGAGAAAATCTTAAATTAAAAATCAAATACAATCAATAGAACTTCACAATCTAATGCCAAATTTGGTGATGGACTAGGTTTAATATATCTCAGATGCTGGAAACAACGAGCTAAGGTTGAAGGAATGGGACTGCGTTTGGAGAGTATTTTAATCTTCTCAGGTATGACAGGTCACTCCTGTACCACAGACCACACTTTCAGGCCCCTTCAAATAAGGAATATTTCCTAGGTCCTTGCCTGTTCTTCTCAGCTGAATTCACCTCAACTTTCTGAAAGTTCGTCCAAACCTTCTACCATCACCTAGTCTTTGCAATTCTTGTGCATTCTAGGGAGTAGAATTAATATTTCCTGAGAGAGGAAAACTGGGATCTTCACCTGTGACCTTTTTTCCTCCTCTGAAACACCAGTGAGAGGTTAGACCAGATGGCTGTTCTTTCAAGTGCACTTCTTATTCATAGGGAACCCTCCCTTTCAAGCTTTGTAACACACAGTTAAGACTGAAGTACCCTTAAGGCTGAAGACCATCATCCATTACCCCATCTCCCTCGTGGAATCAGTGAGTTCTTCCCTGGAAACTAGGTCTCGTATAAACTTCTGTAAATGCGACCCAGGAGGACTAGGCAGGTCACACAGTGAAGGAGGGAACCAGAAACTTCACTTGCTAAAGAGACGCCAGGAAACCCAACTAATACAAACGCCAATTTTAAGACTAGAGGTTCACGCATTTCACACTACTACTCTGGAAATGGGGAACGTCTCCCGAGAACTGTGTGTTAGCACTGGGACAGATGGGCAAACTGAGTGACATGCGGGTTGGTAACCGGGTCCCTCAGCAGCAGGACAGGAGCGTGGCCTGCAGACTCCAGGCCCAGGGCCACCGGCCTCGGCTACGTGCTCCTGGGCCTCTGGAACCCGCTTCACTGCCGGGACCCCAAGCGTGTCCTCCCAGCACCTGCCACTGTCTGCGGCCCGCACCGGCACGTCAGGCCTCGCTCGCCTGTGATGCGCCCACGCGTCTGCTCCCACAACTGGGGAACACTGGTCCGGCCCCCCGGGATCGCCCGAGGCCCACGGGTTCCTCTTCGCCCTCACACAGACCCATAGGGACATAGAACAAAGCCCCATGCCTGCCCAGCCTCAGGACCGCCTCTGGGTTGAGCACTTCCGGAGGACAATGGTGGAGTGGGCGGGGCAGCGCATGAGCAGAGAGAAAAACTGGTTCCCAAGATCCTTCATGGTAACATCATTGGAAGGTGACACTACATTTCCCATGAGGCTCTACGTTCCCCTGTTAGGAACGCATGTCGGACATTCTGCTTTGCCCAGCTGTGAGTCCAGTTACCCAGAGACCCGGACTTAATGGATCAAGACTGGTCCCTACCCACGTGACACATTTGTGGCATTCTGGTTCTTTATTAAATCCTGGTTTCACAGCCTGAGACATTGTGAAAATAATGGAGAAATTTCAATAGAGGCCAATTGGTCTATGCTATCAATGAGTAACTTTTTTTTTTTTTTTTGAGACAGAGTCTCGCTCTGTCGCCCAGGCTGGAGTGCAATGGTGCGATCTCGGCTCACTGCAACCTCCGCTTCCCGGGTTCAAGCGATTCTCCTCCCTCAGCCTCCTGAGTAGCTGGGATTACAGGTGGGCGCCACCACACTCGCCTAATTTTTGTATTTTTAGTAGAGACGGGTTTCACCATGTTGGTCAGGCTGGTCTCGAACTCCTGACCTCGTGATCTGCCCTCCTTGGCCTCCCAAAGTGCTGGGATTACAGGCGTGAGCCACCACGCCCAGCCCTCAAGTCTATTTTTTATAGATGCATTCGAAAGCATGAAAAAAATCATGTCTCTATTTTACTTTAAATTTTAAAAACACAACTAATTAATACGGTAATTCTCTTCCAATCTGTTATCTTTTCTCTCACTAAACTAATTTGTGAGCCTTCAATTTACACAGTTAGGAAAAATGCTCTGGTGTGTATAGTAGGATAAAATAACAGGGTCATAAGACAGGTGCACTCCATAATCTTTGTGACAACTTACACTTCCAGTGTCTGATAAATATTTGCCCATAAACTCCCACGATTCATCCATCCACCAATCAATCAAATCTACCTATCTTTATTTATTTATTGCGAGAAAGACTAGAACTTTTCCTTTCCTTCCCTGATGTCTGCCACAAACTAGGCAAGGAGTTCTGCCTAGGGGTTTCTCAGAGCTCTGGCTATCACCGAGGTTCCTAACAGGGAAATTGCTGGCTTGGATGCTCCGGGTTGATGTAGGAGTGCATGTGAAACGGGGGTGGGGTGAAAGGGCAGTGAAGTTTGTAGGTGGATAGATGGGGGTGTGAAGGGGTTTCAGGTAAGAGGCACTCAGGAAACTGGGAGAGGCAGCGAAAGCACCTCACGCCTTAGATCACCAGAAGATGCTCCCACCAGCGCCATGACAGTTTGCCAATGCCATGGCAGCACGGGAAGTCCCCACCCCTTGCCATGGAAACAGCTGGAAGTTACTGCTCATTTCTAGCTGTTTCTGAGTAACCCGCCCCTTAATTAGCATGCCATTAAAAGTGAATTATAGAAATGACTACAAGCCACCCCTAGGCTGCTACTCTGTCAGCACAACCCACGGAGGGCTCCCTGCCCTGCCAGAGGGGACGCAGGGCTGTAACACCGCCAATGCCTCCGTAGAGCTGCTTTCTTCCACCACAGGCTTACTTTTGGATTTCATCCTGAGCGACGCCAAGAACCTGCACTTCCTCAGTGTGACTCTTGCCTAAAACCTATCCCTGGTTTTCTCTTTTCCTAAGCATGCTCTGACTTGTTCTTTCATCTCCTCTGATCTTGCAATTGGTCCTCAGTGACTCTATTCTGCAGATCCAGAAAACTCAACCTTAATCTTCCCAGAGCCCTGTTGTCTCCAATATTGGAATCTTTAGCCTTGTCTCAGACGCCTAGATTTACCGGCCTCTCTCTTGAACACCTATTGGTAAGGTATCTGGGGATCCTTTAAATACAAGATGATTGGCAGGGTTTACATAGGGGAAATCAGTGTCTGACAATTCACCTTCCATGATATGGATTGTCATTCCCTCTCTTTGTGGGCCGCAGTCTCTTATACATAAAAGTAGAGATTGTAATACTCATTTGGCTTGCAGATACCTCACCCCGAACCCACTTAATATAATGTAAAAGTCAAGAATGCAACACCTTTCCTCACCCCGTGAAGGTAAAGTCCTCAGAGCCAAGGAGAGAAGGCTCAGGGATGGTACCTGGGTGTTTCCAACACTAACCATGTATTGTAGTTTTTAGTGTTCAAGTTTAAGCTTCTTATGTTAAATTTACCCCAGTTTTAATTCTATTGTAACAAGATTTATTTTTGTAATTCCATTTTTGGATTCAAGATTTCTTGGTAAAGAAATACAGTTATTTTTCTATACCAATCTTATATAGTATTACATTCCTAAATTTGTTCATGAGTCCTAATACTTTTTAGTAAATTTCTTATGATTTTCTAAATGCAAGATCATGTCATCCGTACATAAAGATAACTGTACTTCTTCCTTTCCAATCTAGATGCCATGTATTTATTTACATTGCCAAGTTGTCCCAGCTACCACTGTTATCAAGTAAAAGGGGCTCACTGCCAAAAGCACTAGAAGCCGGTACCATGGCACTGAGTTTTTGAGAAAAGAAAAACTTTAAAGTCAAAACAAAACCTATAGGATACAGGCCGGGTGCAGTGGCTCATGCCTGTAATCCTAGCACTTTGGGAGGCTGAGGCGGGCAGATCACGAGGTCAGGAGATCGAGACCATCCTGGCTAACATGGTGAAACTCCGTCTCTACTAAAAATACAAAAAACAAAAATTAGCCGGCCATGGTGGTGGGCACCTGTAGTCCCAGCTACTCGGGAGGCTGAGGAGGGAGAATGGCGTGAACCTAGAAGGCAGAGCTTGTAGTGAGCCAAGATTGCACCACTGCACTCCAGCCTGGGCAACAGAGCGAGACTCTCTCTTAAAAAAAAAAAAATACAAAAAACAAAAAACAAAACTATGGGATACAGTAAAAACAGTACTAAGAAGTAAGTTTATAGCAAAAAGCACCTCCATCAAAAAAAGTAGAAAAACTTCAGATAAACAACCTAATAATGCATCTTAAATAATTAGAAAAGCAAGAGCAAACCAAAACCAAAATTAGCAGAAGGAAACATAGCAAGAATCAGAGCAGAAATAAATGAAATTGAAATTTAAAAATATAAAATGTCAATGAAATGAATAGTTAATTTTTTTAAAGACCAACAAAATCAACAAACATTTAGCCAGACTAAGAAAAAAGAGAGAAGACTCAAATACATAAAACCAGAGATTAAAAAGGAGACACTCCAACTGATACTGTGGAAATTCAAAGAATCATTAGAAACTATTATGACCAACTATATTCCAATAAATTGATAAACCTGCAAATAATGACCAGGCACCATGGCTCATGCCTGTAATCCCAACACTTTGGGAGGCCAAAGTAGGTGATCACCTGAGGTCAGGAGTTCAAGACCAGCCTGGCCAACAAGGTGAAACCCCATCTCTACTAAAAATACAAAAGTTAGCCAGGCATGGTGGTGTGCACCTGTACTCCCAGCTACTCCAGAGGCTGAGGCAGGAGAATCAATTGAACCTGGGAGGCAGAAGTTGCAGTGAGCTGAGATTGTACCAAGCTCCAGCCTGGGTGACAGTGCAAGACTCCATCTCAAAAAACAAACAAACAAACAAACAAAAAAAAACCCACAAAAAAACAAAAACAACCAAAAAACACACCTAGAAGAAATGGATAAATGAGATTGAACCCATAAAAAAACATCTCCTAGCAAAGAAAAGCCTGGATCCAATGGCTTCACTGATTAATTTTACCAAACATTGAAGGAAGAATTACTATCAATCCTACTCAAACTATTCCAAAAAACAAAGAAGACTGTAGTATTACCATACTCATTCTATGAAAAAGACCATTCATCATGTCTAAGTGGGATTTACCCCAAGAATGCCAACATGGTTCAACATATGTAAATCAATCAATGTGACACATCATAGCAACAGAATGAAGGACAAAAACCATATGGTAATTTCAATTGATGCTGAAAAGGATTTAATAAAATCCAACATCCCTGTGATAAAAAGAAACCCTAAAAAAAAAACTAGATTTAGAAGGAACATACCACAACACAATAAAAACCATAGGCAACAGACCAACAGCCAGTATCATCCGGAACAGAGAAAAACTGAACCTTTCTTCTAAGATCTGGAACAAGGCAAGAATGTCCACTTCCAACACTGTTACTCAACATAGTACTGGAAGTCCTAGCTAGAGCAATCCAGACAAGAGAAAAACAATAAAGGACATCCAAATTGAAAGAAGTAAAATTATTATTGTTTTCTTGTTTGCAGGTGATTTGATCTTATATTTGGAAAAACCTAAGGACTCCACCAAAAAACTATTAGAACTGATCAACAAATTCAGAGTCACACGATACAAAATCAAACTACAAAAATCAGTAGTATTTCTAAATGCCAAAAATGAACAATCTAAAGAAGAAAATCAAGAACGTAATCCCATTTACAATAGCTACACATAAATAAAATATCTAGGAATAAACGTAACAAAAGAAGTGAAAGATCTCTATCATGAAAACTATAAAACACCAATGCAAAAAAATTAAAGAAGACACCAAAAAATGGAAAGATAGTCCATGTTCATTGATTGGAAGAGTAAATATTGTTAAAATACCCATATTTCACAAAACAATCTACAGATTCAATGCAATCCCTATTGAAATACTGATAACATTCTTCACAGAAAAAGAAAAAAAATCCTAAAATTTATATGAAACCATAAAAGACCCAGAATACCAAAAGTCATCCTTAGCAAAAAGAACAAAACTGGAAGAATCACATCACCTGACGTTAAATTATACTACAGAGCAATTGTAAACAAAACAGCTTGGTACTGGCATAAAACAGAGACATAGACCAATGGAACAGAATAGAGAACCCAGAAATAAATCCTTACATTTACAACTAACTCATTTTCAATGAAGGTGCCAAGAATATACATGGGGGAGAGGACAGTCTCTTCAACAAATTGTGCTGGGAAAACTAAATATTAATTGCAGAATATTTTTTTATTTTTTGAGATGGAGTCTAACTCTGTTGCTCAGGTTGGAGTGCAGTGGTGCGATCTGGGCTCACTGCAAGCTCCACCTCCCGGGTTCACACCATTCTCCTCCTCGGCCTCCCAAGTAGCTGGGAGTACAGGTGCCCCCACCATGCCCGCTAATTTTTTTTTTTTTTTTGTATTTTTAGTAGAGACGTAGTTTCACCGTGTTAGCCAGGATGGTCTTGATCTCCTGCCCTCATGATCTCCCCACCCGAGCCTCCCAAAGTCTGAGGCTGAATAATTTAATTGGCAGAATAATTAAACTAGAACCCTCTCTTGTGCTATATACAAAAATCAAATCCAAATGGGTTAAAGACTTAAGTCAAGGACACGAAACTACTGAAAGAAAACATTAGGGAAACTCTCCAGGAAATTGGTCTGGGCACAGATTTCTTGAGTAATACTCCAAAAGCTCAGGCAACCAAAGCAAAAATGAACAAATGGTATCACATGAAGTTCAAAAATTTCTGCATAGTAAAGAAAACAATGGACAAAGTGAAAAGACAATCCACAGAATGGAAGAAAATATTTGCAAACTATATATCTGACAAGGGATTAATAACCAGAATATATAAGGAGTTCAAACAACTCTATAAGAAAAAAACTAATAATCCAATTATTTAAATGGGCAAAAGATCCGAACAGACATTTCTCAAAAGAAGGCACACAGGTCAGGCGCAGTGGCTCACACCTGTAATTCCAGCACTTTTGGGAGCCAAGACAGGTGGACCACTTGAGCCCAGGAGTTCAAGACCAACCTGAAAAACATAGCAAATAATTTTAAAAACTACCTGGGCATGGTGATGCATGCCTGTGGTCCCAGCTACTCAGGAGGCTGAGGTGGGAGGATTGCTTGAACCCTGGTAGTCAAAACTACAGTAAGCCATCATCATACCACTGCACTCCAGCCTGGGTGACAGAGTGAGACCCTGTCTCAAAATATGAGCAAAAACAAAAAAGAAGATATATAAATCTCATATAGGTATATGAAAAGATGCTCAATATCATTGATCATCAGAGAAATTCAAATCAAAGCTACAATAAGATATCATCTTACCCCCATTAAAATGGCTTTTATGCAAAAGACAGGCAATAACAAATGCTTTCAAGAATGTAGAGAAAAGAGAACCCTCTTACTCTGTTGGTGGGAATGTAAATTAGTACATTCACTATGGAGAACAATATGGAGGCCCCTCAAAAAATTAAAAAAGGATTAGAACTATCATATGATCCAGCAATCCCACTGCTGGGTATATACCCAAGGGAGGGAAAATTAGTATATCAAAGAGATAGCTGCATTCCCATATTTATTTCAGCACTATTCATAATAACCAAGATTTGGAAGCAACCTAGGTGTGCATCAACAGATGAAGGGATAAAGAAAATATAGTACATATACACAATGGAGTACTCTTCGGCCATGAAAAAGAATAAGATTCTGTCCTTTGCAACAACGTGGATGGAACTAGGGGACATTATGTTAAGTAAAATGAGCCAGGCACAGAAAGACAGACTTTGCATGTTCTCACTCATTTGTGGGAGCTAAAAATTAAAACAATTGAACTCAGCAAGATAGAGAGTAGACTGAGAGTTTCCAGAGTCTGGGAAGAGTAGCAGTGTTACGGGATCTTTGGAGTGTCACTTTTCTGGACAGAAACCTCTATGGCTGGTGGCACCTTTACCTGAGTTTTGCTTGGTTCCCGCCCACACAGCCTGGCAGGCTGTGCTCAGCTCATGCTACCAGGTGGGATCCCATGTTTGCCAAGGGAGACTGCATGGAATGGCAAGGGATGTGTGAGCGAGCATGGGGTCTGGCCACTGTGCAGTCAGACTTGCTGGCTGCTGCAGTGGGGCAGGTAGCTCCAGGTGCCAACACGGGCGCCAGCTCTCCGCAAGGCTATGGCTGGACCACGGGCACCTCAAGCAGCTTCCACAGCTGGCACATTGGGAACACAGTGGAACCCAGAAGCTTGGAGATACCAGGAACCACAGGGCCCCAAAGAGGGAATCACAGCCCTGGCTCAGGGAGCTCCCAGGTCAGGCTTCCCAAAGGGTCACAGCTCTTCTTTTCTTCTCTTTGCCCACAATGTGGAAAGCAAGGGGCATGTCTCAGCCCTGTTTGTGTTACAGCTCTTTCAGCCTCTTCCCTAGGATTTGTCATAATTAATTCTCATATTGTCTTATTTTTTTACATGTGTTTCAACTTCAGAAGATGTACGGATTTAAACAAAACATGATGTGTTAGCTAGCTGCCATATGAATTTCTCCCTGTTTCACCACTATGTAGCCTAAAGTTATTCCGTCATCCATGACTATCCTGGCTAAGGAGTCTAAAGATCTTTGTTTGGTAGCTATGGCTTCAGCTAGTTCATTTGCTAAGTTACCTAGAGTGGTTGACAGATTTCTAATTATATGTTCATGAGAGGTTACTCCCCAGCATGGCAAGCGACTTCTGCCAAACATAGGATAAAATTCATCTCCTTGGTTTGAAGGTATGGTTTGTCTAATCCTGGAAAATAAATTTGATGAACTACTTCAGTGTTCAGAAACATTGGAGTTATAAACAGAAAGAGGAAGAGTCACATAACCTAATAGACAATTACTTCTCATATGCCAGCGGTCAATACATTCATAAGCCCATGGGTGGTTGATCCAGGGACCACACAGGGTCCCTGACAGATTCTGAAAGTTAAGGCTTTGGTTTGCTGGTAACAGAGATAGGTTAAAGTACACGTCTTCAGTCTTGAGTAGAGTGTAATCAGTCTCATTTTTTTTAATGAGACAAACATCAGGTAAAGACCTTGACAAGAAGGAAGAGAAATCCCGAGATCCTATAATCATAATAATCGAATTGTAATTGCAAGTTTGAGTAGTCCTTCAAAAATACATCTCATTCCTGACAGGATAAAACAAGTTTTTAAAAATATATTATATTCAGATTCACTAGGGAACACTTGGAGCCAGGAAATAATTCAGGATTCAGCCCAAATTATAGCAAATAATAAAAACTCTAAAACAATGATCAGGGTTGGAATCTAATAGCATATGCCATAGTTTTCTTTTGGAACATAAATTCTCTCTAGTCCATCATTTTATCAAAGACAAATCATAGTAGGACCAATTTGTATGCAAAATAAGTTTTAGTCTTATCATACCTGGCCTGATTATTTCCATAAAGTGCATCAAGAATATTTATTGGCCATACGGGCTTCTTAAAATTGGCTTTGTTGGAAATTTTTAATAAGGAATCTTAGACTTTTAAGAGCCTTGAAGCTAGCCAAGTCAAAGATTTGCATCAGACTATGTCTGTAATAATTTTTTTAACCTACATTTTTTAAATTATACTTTAAGTTATGGGGTACATGTGCAGAATGTGCAGGTTTGTTACATAGGTATATATGTTCTGTGGTGGTTCGCTGCACCCATCAACCCATCACCTATATTAGGTATTTCTCTTAATGCTATCCCTCCCCCTGCCCCCACCCCTCAACAGGCCCCAGTGTGTGATGTTCCCCTCCCTGTGTCCATGTGTTCTCATTGTTCAACTCCCACTTATGAGTGAGAATATATGGTGTTTGGTTTTCTGTTCTTGTGTTAGTTTACTGACAGTGATGGTTTCCAGCTTCATCCATGTCCCTGCAAAGGACATGAACTCATCCTTTTTTATGGCTGCATAGTATTCCATGGTGTGTATGTGCCACATTTTCTTTATTCAGTCTATCATTGATGGGCATTTGGGTTGGTTCCAAGTCTTTTTTATTGTGAACAGTCCTGCAATAAACATACATGTGCATGTGTCTTTGTAGTAGAATGATTTATAATCCTTTGGGTATATACCCAGTAATGGGATTGCTGGTCCAAATGGTATTTCTAGTTCTAGATCCTTGAGGAATAGCCACACTGTCTTCCACAATGGTTGAACTAATTTACACTCCCACCAACAGTGTAAAAGCCTTCCTATTTCTCCACACTCTCTCCAGTATCTGTTGTTTCCTGACTCTTTAATGATTGCCATTCTAACTGGCATGAGATGGTATCTCACTGTGGTTTTGATTTGCATTTCTCTAATGACTAGTGAAGATGAACTTTTTTTCATAAGTTTGTTGGTTGCATAATTGTCCTCTTTTGAGAAGTGTCTGTTCACATCCTCTGCCTACTTTTCAATGGGGTTGTTTTTTCTTGTAAATTTGTTTAAGTTCTTTGTAGATTCTGGATATTAGCTGTTTGTCAGATGGATAGATTGCAAAAATTTTCTCCCATTTTGTAGGTTGCCCGTTCACTCTGATAGTTTCTTTTGCTGTCCAGAAGCTCTCTAGTTTAATTAGGTCCCATTTGTCAATTTTGGCTTTTGTTGCCTTTGTTTTTGGTGTTTTAGTCATGAAGTCTTTGCCCATGCCTATGCCATGAATGGTATTGCCTAGGTTTTCCTCTAGGGTTTTTATGGCTTTAGGTCTTATGTTTAAGTCTTTAATCCATCTTGAGTTAATTTTTGTATAAGGTGTAAGAAAGGGATCCAGTTTCATCTTTCTGCCTATGGCTAGCCAGTTTTCCCAACACCATTTATTAAATAGGGAATCCTTTCCCCAGTGCTTGTTTTTCTCAGGTTTGTCAAAGATCAGATGGTTGTAGATGTGTGGTGTTATTTCTGAGGCCTCTTTTCTGTTCCTTTGATCTATATCTCTGTTTTGGTACCAGTACCATGCTGTTTTGGTTACCGTAGCTTGTATTATAGTTTGAAGTCAGGTAGCATGATGCTTCCAGCTTTGTTCTTTTTGGTTAGGATTGTCTTGGCTGTTCGGGCTCTTTTTTGATTCCACATGAAATTTAAGGTATGTTTTTCCAATTCCGTGAAGAAAGTCAATGGTACTTTAATGGGGATGGCAGTGAATCTATAAATTACTTTGGGCAGTATGGCCATTTTCAAGATACTGATTCTTCCTATCTATGAGCATGGAATGATTTTCCATTTGTTTGTGTCCTCTCTTATTTCCTTGAGGAGTGGTTTGTAGTTCTCCTTGAAGAGGTCCTTCACATCCTTGTAAGTTGTATTCCTAGGTATTTCATTCTTTTTATAGCAATGGTGAATGGGAGTTCACTCACAGTTTGGCTCTCTGTTTGTCTGTCATTGCTGTATAAGAGTGCTTGTGATTTTTGCACATTGATTTTGTATCCTGAAACTTTGCTGAAGTTGCTTATCAGCTTAAGGAGATTTTGGGCTGAGATGATGGGGTTTTCTAAATATACAATCATGTCATCTGCAAACAGAGACCATTTGACTTCCTCTTTTCCTAATTGAATACCCTTTATTTCTTTCTCTTGCCTGATTGCCCTGGCCAGAACTTCCAATACTATGTTGAATAGGGGTAGTGAGAGAGGGCATCCTTGTCTTGTGCTGATTTTCAAAGGGAATGCTTCCAGTTTTTGCACATTCAGTATGTTATTGGTTGTGGGTTTGTTATAAATAGCACTTATTATTTTGAGATACGTTCCATCAATACCAGTTTATTGAGAGTTTTTAGCATGAATGGCTGTTGAATTTTGTCAAAGGCCCTTTCTGCATCTATTGAGATAATCATGTAGTTTTTGTCATTGGTTCCCTTTATATGATAGATTACATTTATTGATTTGCATATGTTGAACCACCCTTGCATCCCAGGGATGAAGCCGACTTGATTATGGTGTACAAGCTTTTTGATGTGCTGCTGGATTCAGTTTTCCAGTATTTTATTCAGGATTTCTGCATCGATATTCATCAGGGATATTGGTCTAAAATTTTCTTTTATTGTTGTGTCCCTGTGAGGTTTTTTTGGTATCAAGGTGATGCGGACCTCATAAAATGAGTTAGGGAGGATTCTCTCTTTTTCTATTGTTTGGAATAGTTTCAGAAGGAATGATACCAGCTCCTCTTTGTACCTCTCATAGAATTCAGCTGTGAATCTGTCTGGTCCTGGACATTTTTTGGTTGGTAGGCTCTAATTAATGCCTCAATTTCAGAACTTGTTATTGGCCTATTCAGGAATTTGACTTCTTCCTGGTTTAGTCTTGGTAGTATTCGCTGATGATAATTTGTATTTCTGTGGGATCAGTTGTGATATCCCCTTAATCATTTTTTATTGCATCTATTTGATTCTTCTCTCTTTTCTTCTTTATTAGTCTGGCTAGTGGTCTGTTTTGTTGATCTTCTAAAAAAAACAGCTCCTGGATTCATTGATTTTTTGAAGGGTTTTTCGTGTCTCTGTGTCCTTAAATTCTGCTCTGATCTTATTTATGCCTTGTCTTCTGCTAGCTTTTGAATTTGTTTGTTCTTGCTTCTCCAGTTCTTTTAATTTTGATGTTAGGGTGTCAATTTTAGATCTTTCCTGCTTTCTCTTGTGGGCATTTAGTGCTATAAATTTCCCTCTACACACTGTTTTAAATGTGTCCCAGAGATTCTGGGACGTTGTGTCTTTGTTCTCATTGGTTTCAAAGAACATCTTTATTTCTGCCTTCATTTCGTTATTTACCCAGTAGTCATTCAGGAGCAGGTTGCCCAGTTTCCATGTAGTTGTGAGGTTTTGAGTGAGTTTCTTAATCCTGCATAATAATTTGAATGCATTGTGGTCTGAGAGACTGTTTGTTATGATTTCCATTCTTTTGCATTTCCTGAGGAGTGTTTTACTTCCAATTATGTGGTCAATTTTAGAATAAGTGCAATGTGGTGCTGAGAAGAAGGTATATTCTGTTGATTTGGGGTGGAGAGTTCTGTAGATATCTTTTAGGTCCACTTGGTCCAAAGCTGAGTTCAAGTCCTGGATATACTTGTTAATTTTCCGTCTCATTGATCTAATATTGACAGTGGAGTGTTAAAGTCTCCCACTATTATTGTGTGGGAGTCTAAGTCTCTTTGTAGGTCTTTAAGAACTTGCTTTATGAATCTGACAGCTCCTGTATTGGGTGCATATATCTTTAGGATAGTTAGCTCTTCTTGTTGCACTGATCCCTTTACCATTATGTAATGACCTTCTTTGTCTCTTTTGATCTTTGTTGGCTTAAGGTCTGTTTTATCAGAAACAAAGATTGCAACCCCTGCCTTTTGTTGCTTTCCACTTGCTTGGTAAATGTTCCTCCATCCCTTTATTTTGAGCCTATGTGTATGAGATGGGTCTCCTGAATGCAGCATATTGATGGGTCTTGACTCTTTATCCAATTTGCCAGTCTGTGTTTTTCAACTGGGGACATATAGCTCATTTACATTTAAGGTTAATATTGTTATGTGTGAATTTGATCCTGTCATTATGATACTAGCTGGTTATGTTGCTCATTAGTTGATGATGTTTTTTCATAGTGTCAATGGTCTTTATAATTTGGTATGTTTTTGCAGTGGCTGTTACCAGTTGTTCCTTTCCGTGTTTAGTGCTTCCTTCAGGAGCTCTTGTAAGGCAGGCCTGGTGGTGACAATATCTCTCAGCATTTGCTTGTAAAGGATTTTATTTCTCCTTCAATTATGAAGCTTAGTTTGGCTGGATATGAAATTCTGGCTTGAAAATTCTTTTCTTTAGGAATGTTGTGTATTGGCCCCCACTCTCTTCTGGCTTGTAGGCTTTCTGCCAAGAGATCCACTGTTAGTCTGATGGACTTCCCTTTGTGGGTAACTCAACCTTTCTCTCTGGCTGCCCTTAATATGTTCTCCTTCATTTCAACCTTGGTGAATCTGATGATTTTGTGTCTTGGGGTTGCTCTTCTTGAGAAGTATCTTAGTGGTGTTCTCTGTATTTCCTGAATTTGAATGTTGGCCTGTCTTGCTAGGTTGGGGAAGTTCTCCTGGATAATATCCTGCAGAGTGTTTTCCAACTTGGTTCCATTCTCTCTGTCACTTTCACGTACACAAGTCAAACGTAGATTCAGTCTTTTAACATAGTCCTCTATTTCTTGGAGGCTTTGTTCATTTCTTTTCACTCTTTTTTCTCTAATCTTGTCTTCTTGCTTTATTTCATTGAGTTGATCTTCAATCTCTGATATCCTTTCTCCTGCTTGATTGATTCAGCTATTGATACTTGTGTATGCTTCATGAAGTTCTTGTGCTGGGTTTTTCAACTCCATCAGGTCATTTATGTTCTTCTCTAAACTGGTTATTCTAGTTAACAATTCATCTAACCTTTTTTTTCAGGTTCTTAGCTTCCTTGCATTGGGTTAGAACATGCTCCTTTATCTCGGAGGAGTTTGTTATTACCCGCCTTCTGAAGCCTACTTCTGTCAATTCGTCAAACTCATTGTCTGTCCAGTTTTGTTCCCTTGCTGGCGGGGAGTTGTGATCTTCTGGAGGAGAAGAGGCATTCTGTCTTTTGGAGTTTTCAGCCTTTTTGCACTGGTTTCTCCCCATCTTTGTGGATTTATCTACCTTTGGTCTTTGATGTTGGTGCTGTTGATACTATTCCTTTCTGTTTGTTAGTTTTCCTTCTAACAGTCAGGTCCCTCTGCTGCAGGTTTGCTCGAGTTTGCTGGAGGTCCACTCCAGACCCTGTTTGCCTGGGTATCACCAGTGGAGGCTCAGTTGGAAATGCATGAACCACCTGCCTTCTGTGTTGATCTCACTAGGTGCTGCAGGTCAGAGCTCTTCCTACTCAGACATCTTGCCAGCTCTCCTGTAATACTTTTATGAATGGGTGTAGTCCTCTCTTCTCAAGGTCCCCAAATATCTTGAGGTTCCTAGGCCCGTCAGAAAGTGACATTCTTTACTTCTTACCAGAAGGACAGTGAATATAAAGGACCCTTGTAGACAAGACACCAAGCCAGTCATTATAAGGGGCTTTGTATTGGTGCTATAAAGTCAACCTCAATTCCTTAAAGTGGTCTGGTTGTAGCTGCCATTCGAGTTAAAGCCTTGATAAAACAAACAGTGTCTCCAATTGAATCCTGTTATCAAAAACAGATTCACATTAAAATTATGCAAATAATTATATTGTCATAATTTAAGAATGCTCACTAATGGCTTCTGAATTCTGGAGTAATCAGTTAGAGAGACAGATAAATGGCTCAAATTTTTGTTCACAATGTAGTTTATCTAATGTATTGTGAGTTAAAAATAGCTGAAAAGAAAAAAAAAATTCTTGACTTTGGAAAACAAAACATAAAGAGAATCAACAATGTTTCCAATGAAAAGGCCATGAATAAAATCTTTTTCTTCTTTTATGAGTTCATTCCCATGTAACTAAATCTTGTTCTGTTTGATTTCAAATAGCAATTCTCATTCAGTTTTTTTGTGTTTTGCTTGATTTCAATTAGAAGTTCTCATTCAGCTTTTTAGAGTCCTGGAAGATTTTCCTAGTCCAATGGTATGATCCCCAAAGTTATCAGAAACCATATTTAAGAGAACTTGTCAGAGTCCTTTCCATTAAAAGTAATTTAGATGATAGCTGATTGTAAAGGCTTTTTTTTTTTGAGGCATGGTCTGGCTCTATCACTCAGGATGGAGTGCAGTGGCATGATCTTGGCTCACCACAATCTCTCCCTCCCAAACTCAAGCCATCTTCCTACCTAAGCCTCCGAAGTAGCTGGGACCATAAGCATGCACCATCATGCCTGGCTAATTTTTGTATTTTTGTAGAGACAGGGTTTTATCATGTTGCCCAGGCTGCTTTCAAACCTCTGAGTTCAAGCAATTCACCCAACTTGGCCTTGCAAAGTGCTGGGATATTTACAAGCGTGAGCCACCGTGCCCTGTGCCACGCCTAGCAACATGCCCTGCACAGCCTCCAGCACTGCACCTGGCCTGTAAATGTTTTTAGAGAAGAACTTAAAACAATCAACGTGGATGACAAAATTTTAGAATAGCCTTTGGTTAAAATCCAGTAGAAGTTCTCAACTGGCGAGAAAATTTAGTTACTTCTATTATATGTAGCATTTTATGATAACAGCCAGAATCATGACTGATGGCAACACATCTAATCCATCAGACTTCCACAAATTTTACATAATCTTTAGAATATTTATAGTAATAATATATCTATACAAATAAAACTTTAGAAAATATTTAACATCATCAAAATTGTGATTTATACCATATTAGATTTTTATAATTTATATAACGTTTAAAATATTTATATTAATAACATACCTATAAATGTAACCAAAAGAAGATTTAGGCCAGGCACAGTGGCTCATGCCTGTAATCCCAACACTTTGGGAAGCCAAATTGGACAGATAATCAGAGGTCAGGAGTTTGACAGCAGCCTGGCCAACATGGAGAAACCTTGTCTCTACTAAAAATACAAAATTAGCTGGGTGTGGTGGCACGTGTCTGTAGTCCCAGCTACTTGGGAGGATGAGGCAGGAGAATCGCTTGAACCTTGGGGCAGAGGTTGCAGTGAATCTAGATCATGCCACTGCACTACAGCCTGGGTGACAAAGCAATATTTTTGTCTCAGAGGAAAAAAAGATTTAGTGTTACTTATCTTTTGGCAATGCTTCCCATACAATGTTATCAACTAAGTTTTAGCAAAGATGTCAAAAAATTGAAAACATTTGACCAAAACAGAATGACAGTTTATTGTTTTTTATTTTATTACTTTTTTGAGACAGGGTCTCACCCTGTTGCCCAGGCTGTAGTGCAGTGGTGAATTCATGGCTCACTGCAGCCTCAACCTCCCAGGCTCAGGTGATTCTCCACCTTAGTCTCCCAAGTAGCCAGGATTATGAGCTCGTGCTACCACACCTAGCTAGCTTTTGTATTTTTAGTAGAGATGGGGTTTTGCCATTTTGCCCAGGCTGGACTTGAACTCCTGGGCTCAAGTGATCCACCCACCTTGGCCTCCCAAAGGGCTGGAATTACAGTTATGAGCCGCTGCACACAGCCACATGTCATTTTTAAATAACAGTCATTCATTTAATTAGCGTGACAACCAAAAGATATCAAAAGCAACATAGAAGGTTACATGGATGTGAAAACTGAAAACCCTCAGTTTTCCCAAGGAATTAAAAAAACAATAAAGGCAACACATGGATTATCTTGATAAAACCTAAAATCTTTATTACAGTCCAGTCATTTAAAGGTTAAAAGCTCCTGTGGCATAATTGTCTCTTCTTATGGGAAGCTAATTTATATCACTTGGAAGTCAAACCCGATGACAAGGAGACTTGAATTTAATTAGACATAGAAAGAGTGTGTCCAGGATCATGAGTGAGCATAATATTACAGAGGAATGTCAACAGGAAAACCAGAGCATAGAGCAGTGGAGATCCATAGCTCACAGTGATAGCATAGAAGTTTCCTGGTTACATGAAGTAATTAAGACATATTTAAAAGCCAAAAGTACAAAATTAGACCTGATGAAAAAGCTGAAGGAGTTATCATCCCAGCCAAGCAGGAAACCCAAACCTTTTATTCCTTCTCAAGAAGGAACAGGAGACAATGATGTGATCTGTGAGTCATGTGTAACATGAAAGTACAGGAAAAGTTGAACTTCTGATATACAAATCTGAAAAGTTTTTATAGTAACAGATTTCAGGATTAAAAGTCAATATTTATTACCTCTTATTATGAGCAAATAAATACATTAAGAAAACCTTGTTATTTTAACCACAATTTTTAGTTTTTTTATCACTATGTTTTTAATATTACAGCTAATTTAAATAAACTTTATAAACAGTCTATCTGATCTCAATCAGTTTTGACCTCGAGGTAAGATTTACATAAACTTTTAATAACCTTGTATATTTTTTCCATCTTTCCCAACTTTTTATACACATTTAGTTTTATCTATCTTTTTTATTCCTTCAATTTAAAATAATCCTTAAAAATCTCTAAGCAAATTTACTTTCTCTGAAACAAAAACCGGTATACATTTTGCATACAGAATTGTTTCTCTTGTATCTAGTAGTCTTAATCACATATATCTACCAAGATATTAACACTTAGTAACCCTTATTTTAATAAAAAACCTAGGAAGCAAGAAGTCTTGAATTGTCATATAGTAGTATCTTACATATGAGAATAATTTCATAATTTAGAATTATGTGTTCCTAAAACATATTTTTTAAGATGGATTTTCACTCTTGTTGCCCAGGCTGGAGTGCAATGGTGCGATCTCAGTTCACTGCAACCTCCACCCCCCAGGTTCAAGCAATTCTCCTGCCTCAGCCTCCCGAGTATCTGGGATTACAGGAACCCACAACCACACCTGGCTAATTTTTTGTATTTTTTAGTAGAGATGGGGTTTCACCATGTCGATCAGGCTGATCTTGAGCTCCTGACCTTGGGTGAGCCACCCACCTTGGCCTTCCAAATTGTTGGGATTACAAGCATGAGCCACAGTGCCTGGGCTAAAACATAAGTTTTAAATTGGAAATAACCCAGATATTTAATGAGTATCTATTATTTAATTTAAAATAACTAAAATTTCAAAAATAGGCTGGGCATGGTGGCTCACACCTGTAATCCCAACACTTTAGGAGGCCAAGTCAGGAGTATCATGAGACCAGCCTGAGCAAAATAGTGAGATGCTGACTCTACAAAAAAAATAAAATTTAGCTGACCATGGTGGTGCATGCCTGTAATTAACAGCTACTTGGGAGGCTGAGGTGGGAGGATCCGTTGAGTGCAGGAGCTCAAGTTTGCAGTGAGCTGTCATCATGCCACTGCATTTCAGCCTGGGTGACAGACAGAGACACTGTCCCACAAAAATTTCAAAAATACATTAAGATGTCTTGTATAGACATTTATCCATTTACATTTACTTATTTTTGACAGTTTATCTAGAGTATTTGTGAGAACTGAGGTATTAGACAAAGCTAGTCATCATTTCTAGGTTATTTTCTTGTTAACCATGTTATAGCCTGTGAATATCAGGTATTCATGTAAGTGAGGACTTCAAAGTTAAATACATGGGTATTTTACCAATAACTCAGAAAATTCCATTATTTTTGTTCAACTAACCTTATTAAATTTGTCTTATGTATTTAAAAAATCACATAAACAAATATTCTTTTTTTCTGTGTTTATAGCTTTATAACCTTCATGCAAAACCCTAGCACCTTAAAATATCTAACAAATGTAAATATAAAACACAGTCAAAAATGTATGCTGACAATTCTGAAGACATTTCTATTTTTATTTTATCAATACTTTTTAAATTATTTGTATTTATAAAAGAACTCTTTTGTCTGGGCACAGTGGTTCATGTCTCTATCCCAGCACTTTGAGAGGCTGAGGCAAGAGGACCACTTGAGCTCAGGAGTTTGAGACCAGCCTGCACAACATAGTGAGACCCAATCTCTACTAAGAATAAGGTAAAAAATTGTCAGGCATGGTGGTGCATGCCTATTGTCCCAGCTACTAGAGAGGATGAGGCAGGAGGATTACTTGAGCCTGGGAGGTTGAGATAACAGTGAGCTATGATCCCACTACTGCACTCCAGTCTCGGGAACAGAGTGAGAACTTCTCTCAAAAAGAGAAAAAAATAAAGAATTGTTTTATTCTTTTGTTTTTCTTCAGCCAAGTAACCTTGAATTGGTAACACCACAGACAGTAAGTCTTATCTCAACATCAGTAGACAAATCAGCAGATTCAAAGTAGGCAGGGAAAAAAAATGATAGGCAAAAGAACTGAGACTTTTTAATTTTAGGGTTTTTAAAAATAGTAACTATTTGAGTTTTGAATTTTCTTTCATGTAATTTGGCCGTCAGATTTAAAGTGTGCACTAGAGGCCAGGTACAGTGGTTCATTCATGTAATCCCAACACTATGGGAGGCTGAGGCAGGTGTATCACTTGAGGCCAGGAGTTTGAGACCAGCCTGGCCAACATGACAAAACCCCATCTCTACTGAAAATACAAAAATTAACTGGGTGTGGTGGTGTGCACCTGTAGTCCTAGCTATTCAGGAGGCTGAGGCAGGATAATCGCTCAAACCTGGGAGGTGGAGGTTGCAGTGAGCCGCGATTGTACTACCATACTCCATCCTGGGCAACAGAGCAAGACTCTGTGTCAAAAAGAAAAAGAAAAAAAATATATATATATACACACACACACACACACACACACATATATATATATGTGTGTGTGTGTGTGTAGTCTGGGCACAGTGGCTCATGCCTGTAATCCAAGCAGTTTGGGAGGCCAAGGTGGGTGGATCACTTGAGATCAGGAGTTTGAGACCCGCCTGGCCAACATGGTGAAACCTCATCTCTACTAAACCCACAAAAATCAGCCGGGTATGGTGGCGCACACCTGTAATCGCAGCTACTCAGGAGGCTGAGACAGGAGAATTGCTCGAACCTGGGAAGTGGAGGTTGCAGTGAGCCAAGATCACACCACTGCACTCCAGCGTGGGCAACAGAGCAAGACTCTGTCTCAAAAAAGTGTATGTGTGTGTGTGTGTGTGTGTGTGTGTGTGTGTGTGTGTGGCTAGAATGGTCCATAATATATAACCAACTCGAGTCCCAGAAAACCTAGCAAGCTTAAGGTTAGAGCTTCTTGTTTTGGTCCTTTCAAGATTAAATCCTTTAGTAAGCCCTTCCCCTCTGGGGAGGTACTTGCCAGAGCTCTGTCTGAAGTTGGTTTTCTGATGCCCTGTTGTTTCTGTTCTGAATGGTTTATTTCTCATTATAAGAGCTCAGCAAAGCAGGCAGAGTTAAAAAGCAGAGACATGAAGGCTTTAAAATCATGGACTTCACTCCTACACTGAATCTCAGGTTCCCAGAAAGACAGAAACACCAAGGGACCACAGCAAAGGCAGAAGGAGGAGTGAGATAGGGAGGTGGACAGAACAACAAACAGGAGTTGGCTCTCATTTTTTCACGCGTGCCATTTTCTTTAGGTTTTTCTAGTTTATGGAGTCTCTTTGTTCCAGTTGAGCACACAGATAAACTAGAGATCTCAGAAGGCTTTTGCTGAGAACATCAAAGGCTTTAACTTCTGTTGGGCCAAATATTTAGACCAAAAATACAGATAGACACACAAAAGCCAGAACGAGACCAGATTGAGTAGCTCAGTGGCTACAGCCTTTATTCCCTTTATTCTTTAGGATTCGAACTCAAACCAGATTCAGGGTTCTAACCCAACCAGGACCCCCCTGGGGTGAAACTGAAACCCCACAGTCTAGACAAGGTTGGGGGTCTTTTTATATTTTTTATTTTTTTTGAGATGGAGTTTCACTCTTGTTGCCCAGGCTGGAGTGCAATGGTGCAATATTGCCTCACAGCAACCTCCGCCTCTCAGGTTTAAGCACTTATCCTGCCTCAGCCTCCAAAGCTGGGATTACAGGCTTGTGCCACCATGCCCAGCTCATTTTGCATTTTTAGTAGAGACGGGGTTTCTCCATGTTGGTCAGGCTGGTCTCAAACTCCCAACCTCGGGTGATCCGCACACCTAAGCCTCCCAAAGTGTTGACATTACAGACATGAGCCACCACACCCGGCCTGCTTGTTCTTTTCATTTCATCCTGATCTCCGAATACAGGAGAGTAGCTGATTTGGTGTTCACTAACAAGCACAGAAGCTTTGTTACATTTACAGTGTCATTCTTGGCAAAACCTGAAGTTTTGCCTCCCGGGTTCATGCCAATCTCCTGCCTCAGCCTCCTGAGTAGCTGGGACTATAGGCACCCGCCAACTCACCCAGCTAATTTTTTGTATTTTTAGTAGAGACGGGGTTTCACCGTGTTAGCCAGGATGGTCTCGATCTCCTGACCTTGTGATCCGCCCACCTCAGCCTCCCAGAGTGCTGGGATTACAGGCGTGAGCCACTGCGCCCAGCCAGAAGCTCTAATTTCAATGATGATTGTGCTTTTTATCTCTTCCTCAGCATCTGACTCATGATAAAATATCAGGTGTCTTGATGGTATCTAAATCAGTTGTTGATTCGGTCCTGGAGAAACACAAGCATAACCTCTATGCCAAGTTATAATTTTACCTATTTCCCAACTTTTTGTTATTGGGTCTCTCCACCAAACCAGTTATTCTGCTTCTGTCTTTGCAGCTGGTTTCTGTAGATGCTGTTCAGCTGCTGGTAACATCTGGCCTTTGGGCAGGCTCAAAAATTTGAAAGTTATTAATGCTAGATTCAATTGTGTATGGGCTATCCCATAATCCCTGTTTCTCCCCCTTTTTTGTTTTTATTATCAGTTGTTCATCTGTATGAAATCGTAACTGAGCATTTTCAATTCACTGTGTGGAATGAACCATGTATGAAGAATCAGAAATCACATTAACAGGCATATCAAAAGCAGTCAATACCTCATTTACAGATACAAGCTCCGCTTTTTGAGCTGAAGTATAGGGTGTCTGGAAAACTTTACCTTTTGATCCAGAATAAGAAGCTTTACCATTACTAGACCCATCTGTGAAACAACGAAAACGCTTAGCAGGCTGCAGGTTGTTTACTGCAGGAATTGTAAATGCAAACCCTTCACAGTCTTGCTCAGCTAAAAGGGTAGTAAAGAAACAGTCTTTTAAATCTGTGACTATCAAAGGCCAATTTTTTGGAATTATAGTAGGAGAAGGCAATCCTGGATGTTATGTTTCCATAGGTTGTATAACTGAATTGATGGCTCTTAAGTCAGTTAACATTCTCCATTTACCTGATTTTTTCTTAACTATGAAAACTGGAGAATTCCAAGGGGAAAATGTTGGAGCTATGTGCCCATTTTCTAATTGTTTAGTAACTAATTTCTCTAAAGCATCCAGTTTCTCTTTGCTTAGCAGCCATTATTCTATCCAAATTGGCTTATCTGTTAACCATTTTAAAGGTATAGGTTCTGGAGGCTTAACAGTGACCACCATCAAAAATGGTATCCTAATCTTTGGCAGGAAATTTTTCTTTCCGTTTGAAGCAGTTCTTTCAAACCTTGCAATTTTTTTCTACTCCTATACCCGGGACATGCCCCATTTCGTGCATCATATGTTGACTTTGAGGGCTGTATAATTGTTATGGAATTAGAACTTGTGCTCCCCATCGTCATAATAATTCTCTGCCCCATAAATTTATAGGTACAGAAATTGCAATTGGTTGAACAGTCCCAGGTTGTCCATCGGGTCCTTCACAATGCAAAATATAGCTACTTTGATACACTTCTTACACTTCTGGAGCTTTAGCAGTTTCCACTGTGTTAAATTGAGTGGGCTGAATTGGCCACATGGACAGCCAGTGCTGTAGAGAAATGATTGAAATGTCCACTCCTACCAAAAAAAAAAAAAAAAAAAGTATCTACCAAACCTTTAAAGTTCTTTCCCTGGATAGTTATTTCACAGATAGGATGTTTATCAGTAATTTGATTTACCCAATAAGCTGCCTTGCCTTTTTTATTTGTGCTTCCAAATCCTCCAGTTCATTTAATTTCACTTTTTCCCATTCCCACATATGGCACACTCAGGAGCTGTGCTATGCACACTCCTGGCTGTGCTTTCCAGGGAACAGAAGTAGATATCACAATTTGAATTTCCTCATTGTAATCTGAATCAATGACTCCAGTGTGTATTTGTACCCCTTTTAAACTTAAACTAGACCTTCCTAAAAGTAATCCCATTGTCCCTCCTGGCAACGGTCCACAGACTCCTGTTGGGACCTTTTGCGGGGGTTCCCCAGGCAGAAGGCTCACAGCTTTTGTGCAGCATAAATCTACTGCGGCACTATGGGCTATGGTGGGGGACAGATAATGTATGGGGGTGAGGGAATGGCCTGAGCTGGAAATGTCCTGGTTTAGAACAGGGCCTGGGATGGGCCCTTCAGGGAGTTTCCCAAAATCGGGTTCCCTTCTTTATCAAACTTAGAGTGACACTGATTAGCCCAAAGTTTTCCTTTTTTACATTAGACATATTTCAGGATGAGCAGTTTTCTTTTTTCACCTATCTGGTGGCCTGACTTGCTGATTTTTTTTTTAAATTCTTTTTAGTATGACCATGCTTCCCACAGTTAAAACAAGCTCCAGGAAATAGAGTATTTCCTTTATCCACTCTCAGTCCTGCCGTCGCCTGTGCCAACAAAGTAGCTTTATGTAGATTATCTCTGATATCATCACAGGCCTTGTTATAATCAACTAAATGTGCTTTCCCTCTGATAGGTCGCAGAGCAGCCTGGCAATAGGGATTAACATTGTCAAAACTAATAACTGCAACACTATATCCTAAGCAGCCAAATCTGCAATCATCTTTTTAAGAGACTCCTGTAACCAAGCTATAAAATCCACATATGGTTCTCTTGGTCCCTGTTTTATAGCACTAAATGAAGGGTATTGTTCTCCATATGAAGTGTTTTTTTCCAAGCTCTAATGCACACTCCTCTAAGCTGTTCTATGGCATCATCCTGCTTGACCACTTGTGCATGTAAACCAGCCCAGCCACCAACCCCCAAAAGTTGGTCTGCAGTTATATTAATTTGAGGTTGGGCCCAGGCATTGTGAGCAGCCTGAATGGAAGCTTCGTCTGCCCACTAAGTTTTAAATTGTAAGAACTGAGCAGGAGTTAGACAAGCTAGAGTAAGAGTGTCCCAGTCAGTAGGAATCATCCAACTGGAAACAGCAACATTCTTTAACAGTCCCATTTCAAAAGGAGAACCTGGTCCATACTGATTTATAACTTGTTTAATTTTTTTGAGTAATTTAAAAGGAAAAGGCTCAAATGTAGCTATAATATTTCCCTGTTGATCTGGGGGGTGTATTCAAACAGGGAACTGCCAAGCCTCTAAATCCCACTTTTGTCTAGCTTGCTGAATTCCTGCCTGAATAGAACTAAGAGCAGTCGCTCAAGGCGGTGCTCGAACAGTCACCAGGGCAACTACTTTTCACCCAGTGTCCTCCAGAAAAGAAAGATCTGGAGGGTCATTTTCTTCAAAATAATAATGAGGGGGTGCAGAAGGATAGGGATGAACTTCTCCCTCCTTTTCTGCTTTAGCTTTAGGTGGCAAATAAACCTGGTCTGTAACCTCTACTGTTACTTTGTTATACTCTCCTTCCTCCTCATTATCAGTGTGAAAAAGTTCCAAGGTAGAACGAACCACAGCCCACATTTGTCCCATTGTTACCCTGATGCTTCCGAGCTCCCCTTCTGACTCATCACGGGGATTGCTTTAAGAGTACTCGGATGCCCTCCAGCTAGTTCCACATTCTCCAATCGTTGCTCCAGCGATCCTTTGACCTGTATTCGAGCCCCCATGAATGGGCACCACTTCCTGAGACCAGGTCGGTTGAGGAGACCCTAACCCAGCAGCACTAGAGGAATTAAAGACACACACACTGAAATATAGAGGTGTGAAGTGGGAAATCATTGGTCTCACAGCCTTCAGAGCTGAGAGCCCTGAACAGAGATTTACCCACGTATTTATTAACAGCAAGCCAGTCATTAGCATTGTTTCTATAGATATTAGATTAACTAAAAGTATCCCTTATTCTTAAGGCACAGATCACTCATGCTATTGTTTGTGGCTTAAGAATGTCTTTAAGTGGTTTTCCACCCTGGACGGGCCAGGTATTCCTTGTCCTCATTCCAGTAAACCCACAACCTTCCAGCGTGGGTGTTATGGCCATCATGAACATGTCACAGTGCTGCAGAGATTTTGTTTATGGCCAGTTTTGGGGCCAGTTTATGGCCGGATTTGGGGGGGCTTGTTCCCAACAGTGCCTCAGGGTAAGGGTGCCCTAACTCCTGTGGGGACCTTCTTTCGTGGCTCCCCAGGAAGTAAGGAGATGGGAATTGTGCTGTAGAGGTCTACAGCAGCACTGCTTGCTGAGGCGGGGGACAATTGCTGTACATTTGTAAGGGCAGTGGCTGTGCTGGGTATGCCTCAGTTTGTTGAGGGGCTTGAGGCGGGTCCCTCTTCCTATTTCCTCAAAGAGGTTGTTCATCTTTGCTAAATTTAGAATGACACGGACTTGCCTAGTGATTGCCTTTCTTACACCAGGGACATACACTGGGTCTTTTCTGTTGATTGATGGTAGTAGTTTTCATCTTTTGAATTCCTTTCTACATTCCTTTCTTGTGTCCAATTTGCCCACAATTAAGGCAAGAGCCTGAGAAGTGAAACATATTTTTTCTTACTCTTAATCTAGCCATAGCCTGAGCTAAAAGAATAGCCTTATGTAAATTACCTCCAATGCCATCGCAAGACTTAATATATTTAGTTAAATGAGCCTTCTCTCTCAGATATCTAATAGCAGTTTGACACTCTGCATTAGCATTATTGTATGCAAGAAGCTGTATTACAACATCCTGAGCTGTTTTGATCATTTACGGCTTTATACACAGCCTCTTGGAGCTGAGCAATAAAATTAATATATGGTTCTTTAGGTCCTTGTCAGGCAGAATTGAAATAAGGATACTTTTCTCCTGTAACATTTATCCTTTTCTATGCATGTAAGCACATGAAGCACAGCTGAACAATGGCAACATCTTCCATTACTGCTTGATTCTCTAATCAACCCCGGTTAGGGCCAACTCATATTAACTGATCAGAGAAAACAGGCACAGGTGGCTGCAGGTGTGTGTTTTCTTTTGCCTGAGTTTGAGTTCATCAGCCTACCAAGTTTTAAACTGCAAGTACTGAGATGGAGTGAGAACAGGTTTTGTCAAAGTATCCTAATTATATGGTATTAATCTATTATCAAGAGCCATATTTTTAATAAAGATTGTGCAAAAAGAGAGTTCAGTCCATATTGACTAATGGCTTGCTTAAATTCTTTAGTAACTTAAAAGAAAAAGCAGGCTAATTAGCTATATTCTGTCCTACTTGCTGGATTATAGTAACGGGAAATTGCCATGCTTCAAGGTCTCCCTTGGCTTTAGCTTTTTGAATAGAATTTTGTCTAGCACCACCAATTGCTCCAGGTTTTAATGTTGTAACTACAGGAGTAGTAAGTTTTTCAGCTAATTTATTTTCTCACACATTTAGGGGAGAGAGAGGAGGTGGCCATTCACTTAATTCAGCTGGTGGAGCCAACGGGCTAGTAAAACATACTTTTTAAAGTTTTTCTTTCTTTTCTTTAATCTCCTCCGGTAGCTGCTCCTCACACTCAGAATTTGAAGTTAGTTTTTTACACTCATCCTCCTCTTCCTCATCTGAATCTGCCTCATCATCTGTTTGAAATGGCTCAAGGGCTGCCTTTATTAGTGCCCACACTGACCATATATAAACTGGAATTTCTGCTCCATCTTTATATGCCTTTTAAAAATCTCTTCCAATTCTCTCCCATTCATCCAACTTCATAGTCCTTTGCTCTGGAAACCATGGGCAAAACTGCTCTACTGAACTAAAGAGTGATAATAAATTCTAAGTAATAAATTTCACTCACCATCTTTGTATGTCCTCGGGTGTCTTTTGATGATGTGTCCTCTGCTTTCATATGCTCTAGCCTTCCTTCACCGGGTCTTTGTCACCCCATGTTGGGCGCCAGGAATGTTGGGGTGATCAGACCCAACACTAGGTCATGGGGGTGATGAAGTCTGGCAGAGTCAAAGGAATGAGAAAAAGACAGTTTGAGAGAGAAAGTGGGACCAGGAGACCATCACGAGTGTGGAGTCTGCAAAGTCCCCAAGCTCTGGGAGCCCACGCTATTTGTTGGTGCTCAAACAAAGAAACAGGTGGTGAGGATGTGGGGGTTAAAAGGAAATGGTGTATCAAGTGAATGAGAAACATATGGCCCTGCCTTAGCTTCTCTTCCAACACTCAGCTTTTCTCCCAACACATTCCCCTTATGAACAGGAATAAAATAGGGATGCCTGTTCTCCCCACTCCTGTTTAACAAGTCCTAGCCAGAGCAAGCAGGCAAGAGAAAGCGATAAAAAGCATCCAAATAGGAAATGAAGTCAAATTATCTCTCTTCACTGATGATATGATTCTACACCTAGAAATCCCTAAAGACTGTGCCAAAAGGCTCCCAGAACTGATAAAGAAACTTCAGCAAACTTTCAGGATAAAAAAAAATCAACATATAAAAAGAAGTAGCATTGCTGTTCACCAAAAATATTTAAACTGAAAGGTAAATCAAGAGTGCAATCCTGTTTACAACAGCAACCCCCAAAATAAAATAAAATAAAAGAAGAATATGTCTAACCAAGGAGGTAAAGGATATCTAAAAGGAGAACTGCAAAATGCTGCAGAAAGAAATCACAGATGTCGAAACAAATGGAAAACCATTCCATGCTCATGGATTAGAAAGATCAATATTGTTAAAATGGCTATACTGCCAAAAGCAATCTACACATTCAACACTATTCCTATGAAACAACCAGTGTCGTTTTTCACAAAATTAGAAAAAATATTCTAAATTTCATATGGATTTTTAAAGAGCCCAGACAACCAAAGGAAATCTAAGCAAGAAGAACAACGCTGGAGACATCACATTACTTGACTTCATACTATACCCTAAGGCCAAAGTAGACAAAATAACATGGTACTGATATGAAAACAGACACAAAGACCAATGAAACAGAATAGAGAACCCCAAAATAAACACATGCACCTACAGCCATCAGCTTTCCCAGGATAACACAAAGAGAGCCAAGTGGCACCTGCACATTACACTGTGGAAGAAAAACCCAAGCTCAAGAAACCCCAACTTGTGTTATTGGAAGTTCACTTGGCTGTATGCTTCCCAAGAGGGAGAAATTATCTGCATTATACTAGACAGTAAATAAACTTTTCCTTTGTTCCAGAAGGAGGTACTGGTTTTCTATTCCAAGGCTGTTTTCTATACAAACATGCTTGAAAACAATCATTTGGATCAATAAAGTCAGCGTCCATACTTGCAAAATGTGCGGAAATTAAAGACCCAAAAATTGTTTCTCTACCAATTTCTATTTTTTTAAAATCACATTTTCCCCATATAATATGCTTTTAATATGTGATCATATTCTGAAATTGTCTTAGCATTTACCCCCATTTCTGAGTCCAGAAGGATAAAATAGATTTAATTTAGTAACACTTCAAATAGTAGTGATTGTAATAGCAGAGCTAGTTTGTAGCATAAAGAAAAAATAATAATGTTATTAGGTGACACTTACAAAAAATTCTAGTCACCATTTCTAAGTGTCATGGTAAGTACAGTGATTATTTTCTTTCTTTCTGACTCTTTTTTATTTTTTTTCCATAGGTTATTGGGGTACGGTGGTATTTGGTTCCATGGGTAAGTTCTTTACTGGAGATTTGTGAGATTTGGGTGCACCCATCACCCGAGCAGTGTACACTGCACCCTATTTGTAATCTTTTATCCCTTGCCCCCCTCCCTATTAAATAATAGACCAAAAATAATGGGTTTAGAATAAATGAGTTCAAATGAATTGTCAAACGTATGTGGGAAAAGTGGAATCAGTTTTTGAGAAAAAGCAAAAAAGTCAACAGAAATGCTGCTAAAGCATCATCCCTTCATGGCTAGAGCTGCCAGGACCCCAGAACACCAAAATCAGCTAGGGAAATTTTGTAGAAGTCCCAGATGTACTAAATGTTCTGTGAATACACAGAGACATAATTATAACTGTTACCTGCATGTAGAGTAAAGATGAGAAGGCATTGGTCATGGTGGCAGCTACCTCAGGAGTTACAAAGCAGACGTGGTTCCAGGACAGTATATGTCAGGGCAAAGCTGTCCTCGGAGGCTATTAGGAGCTGGTTATGGCACAGACATTGTAAGTCAGATGGTCTCATTACTTTCAATGACAAAACCAAAATTACTTTTGCATCAGCCAATACAAGGGCCTGGCAAGAGCACAGAAAAAGTCCCTGTGTCTGTTAGGTGGGGACCTCTGATGCAGCACAATTCTTTCATTCCTTTCTCCAAAACCTCCTCTTCCAATTCCACTGAAGAGAGAATCTGATGGAAGTCCTGTGTAAGCAGGCTCAGATATATCTACCACTATAGATAGTAGAGGTGATTCACAAATCCAAGCCTATCAAATACATCATAAATAAGTTACACGTTTAATTTTTTTTGAAATTAGGGATCATTATATGAATCAAAACTGTCACTAATGTTTAAAAAGAAAAGAAAAAACCTGAACAAATAGATTCAGAGAAGGCCTTGAAGAGAGGGTTCTCATGCTTCTAGGCCTGATAACAACTATCACAAAATACCACAAAAACCACAAACTTGCACAAAGGCCATAGCAACCTTACACAAAATACACTTCTGTGAGGACATCTATCCAGCAACCGCCTGCCCAAACTTCAACTGACATCGACCTTGTTGTTGATCTTTATAGTCAAAGGTAACTATATCAAAACAATTATAGAAGCCTCTTCATTTTTCCTTTATTTATTTTTTTCTACTCCCCCATACTTCCAGGTTTCCAGGTTGATCATTTTTCTTTTAAAGACCCTGTCTTCCTTTACCATTTGAATCTATATAGTTTGCTTTGTCATGCATATTCCCATTGCAGTGCCCTCCTCCCTAAGATGTGTCTTTTTCCTTTAGAGAGCCTTTCTCTGTTTGTTATTTAGGTTTACAATGAGAAGGCGTGTAAAGTATTTTTACTGTCTTCCTAGGAAAAAATCACTGACTTACAGTATTTATATTTATTTATTTACATTCCTGGGGATGAGGAATTAAAGATTTCACAAATTTTCTTATTGAGAAGATCCAAGTTTTCATGTGAGCAAAACTGAATATATAAATTGATATGTAAATTATGCTGCAGATAATATGGTCAAATGTTTACTTGTATTTAATTTGTTACACATGAATATTGCATATGTAAGATAATATACTAAGAAATTATCACATTTAATGAAATGCTTTAATCAAATTCCAGATTGAATTTTTGATATCAATATCTTTTTCATTGTTTAATCCATCTTTAGGGTGAACAGGGCTTTATAGGCCAAAGTTCTCACTTCTATCTAAATTGTCTGAGTTACAGAACTTTTTGAATTTATTATGTTGTCACAGGAAGTTTCTTATTGCTGTTTAAAGGTGTCTCTCTCAATATGATGCAGAATGCAAAAGCACTGAAGGGCATATATCCTGAGTTTCTGTTACTGAAGCCAAAGGTTGCCAATTTCTTGTAGATCCTGCTAGAGTTAAACTTCATTTAAGTAATCATTAAAAGCTGTATTTATTCCCTCACTTGAAATTTTGATTTCACACTATTAGGACTAATCCTCTAAGTCTTTGTTAAGTTATGTTCCTCTTTTTCTTGTAGCTTGACTCTGATGATCTCTATATGCAACATCAATTGACATAAATTAAAGTACATTCAGGGCAAGAGAGTTTCTTTAAATATTACTTTGTTATTCAAAATAATCACAAAAGCACTCATCGTAGGAAAACTTGTGAGGACTCAAATATAGGGAAATACTTTTTCTTTCTAAGGCATAATTCTGTAAAGAAATTCACCTTAATTTGAATATACATGGGAAAATATCCTTGTTCAATAATAGTCTATATTCACTCTGTTTTCTTCCCTCATAGACCAGCCGGTTCACTATTATTCTCCAAATGATGTGTCCCTCTCTAGAGTCCAGGCTATCTGCATATCTAATTTTCCCACAAATTACTGTTTTGAATTACACTGAATTCAATTTAAGGGGATGTCATTTATAAAAAGTGCAAATATATACTGCACGAGGGATCTTAAAAATCATACACATGGTTTGATCCATAAGCTCATATGAGCGTGCAATGTCAACTTTTTTCATGTTTTTTTTAAGTCCACTTAAATTCTATTTTAAGCCACCATCTGTCTGTGCTGTTAGAGCAGTTAGCCTTAAATCATTTTAAGATGCTCCCTTCCAAGTACTGTGATAGTGATAGAGGCCGACTCTGAGTTGGAGATTTGTATGCAAGGAGGTTGAAATGATATTCCCAACACCTGTGGAAGAGTGAAAGCAATAGGATTGGGTGGAGCAGGAAGTCGGCTGGAATGCAATCACTATCATGGCCGCAGTCCACTCTACAGGGATCTTGGTGAGTTTACCTAATGACCTCGAATTGGAGCAAGCAAACAAGGCCATTATATTTCTGTACCAAGCAGTTCTCGGATGTGGGATGCCTTGAGAAGGGACATGGACTTGGATGAAGGAACTTTACTGTGCTGTGAGTATTGTTGACAGGAGTCAGCTGTCAACACTCCCAGGAGAAGGGGAATTATGCTTTAGTCACGGAGGCGGCATCTAGTGTCAGACCACAGCCTTGTTAAACAGAGCCAGAATTTGGAGGATGGATGGTGGGTTTAACATTTGGGGCTTGACGTCTTGCCCCCACAAGCTGCTGCTGGCCTCTTCCTTGTCCATTTCTGTGTGGCTTGTTTAGGCCCCCCAGCTTCCTGCTTCTTCTTTACCATATTTGGAATGCAAAAATCTACACGTAATTTGGCCCATGGTCCCTTCTGCTTAGACATATCCTTGTAGCTATTTTTTTTAAAAGATGACTATGCCTTCTAGAATATTTCTAAGAAACTGCCGAAGTCACCACTGCTCACCAAGAGGCCTTCGTTTTTTCCTCTTCTTAAACATGGGAAAGGAATGTAGGAGTGTAGGGAGTGGATATTTTCTAACCTGGAAAAAACTCATTTTACCCTATATAATTTTTTTTAGCAAATTCCTTCTTTGCACTTACTCCACAATCTTTCCAAATTCTCCCAAATGCTCAAGCTTTTAAAAAACAAAAGACAGAAAGGATAGCAAGTTATTAGTTTTTCCACCAAACCTTTTCTTTCTATTCGTTTACATCAGTGAGCTTAGAATAACTCTGCTTCTGGAACTGGGAAAGGGACTTGGGAAAAGAAAGAAAAAAAAGCTCTCAAAGTTTAACATCACAAAACATTATAGTCATTGCTATTTTATTATTTATTTATTTATTTATTTATTTATTTTTGAGATGGAGTCTTGTTCTGCCACCAGGCTGGAGTGCAGTGGTGCGATCTCAGCTCACTGCAACCTCCGCGTCCTGGGTTCAAACGATTCTCCTGCCTCAGCCTGCTGAGTAGCTGGGACTACAGGCGTGTGCCACCACACCCAGCTAATTTTTGTATTTTTAGTAGAGATGGGATTTCACCGTGTTAGCCAGGATGATCTCGATCTCCTGACCTTGAGATCCGCCCACCTTGGCCTCCCAAAGTGCGGGATTACAGGCATGAGCCACCGTGCATGGCCTTGCTTTGTAATTTTTACATCATATATCCCGTGTTAGACCAAGAGCTTGTAAAAGCCAGAAGACATACACCATTTATAGTTCAATTAGAGATGTTCACTGATAAAACTGATTCTTCCATCTGAGGGTGGTATTTGTAGTTACAGTAATGTAGATGACAATCTAAGTTATGTTCTACAAACTGTGTCACTGACATCTCAATCTACAGCTAACTTTAATTTTTTAAAAGCAGAGGAGTGGGTTGTATAGGTTTAGAAATATATCCATTAAGCTAGTTAAGTGAGATAGATTCAAACCTTCAACTCACTGGAATATTTACCAAATTGTCTATTCATTAGCTAAAGGAACCATATAAACAAGGTACTTTTCAAAATTCAAAATTATGTAAGGTTTTATTTCCTTTTTATGCTGTTATGAATTGGATTGTAGAGGTTATAAGGTAAAATAAGATTACTTTTACAGTAAAACATACAACACATTGTCACAAGAGGGCAGCCTTTGAACATGAATTTATTCTCAGGCATTCCTTGAAATTTTGAGACAGTTACTTTAATTAACACAACTAAATAATAAAACACTACAGAGGATTTAAGAAGATACTTTGACTTATGCATATTGTTACTTTTTTATTACTGCTAGTGGAAGATGTAATCGATAAGGAAGGTAAGGGCTGAATTTGTTTTATCTAAAAAGACAAATTTCTTTGGGTTTTAGCTTTCAAATATCAACATAGTAGGTCAATGTCTAAATGAGTGTATCAAAGTTCTCACACTAGCACATGTAAATCCACCTCTTATCTACCCAAAACTCTAACCAAGCAAAGGCAAGTTGGAAGAATGTAAGTGCCTAGGATACATAAATGCCACTGGATTTTATATTTTTAACTTTCAACCTCCCAAGTTTCAGTAAGAGACATGTTATTTGGAGAAGTTGCTAAAGTGTAGTTGTATGATGTCTCTGTGTACGGTTAGTCTGGACCTCTTTCTGTCCAGTGGTTGCCCTCAACTGATTGGAGTCACCTCTCTAAAGATCATGCTTATGTCCCTGAAGCAGTTCACAGCACTATCAATGTCTGATCTCCACCTTTTTCCAATTAATATTTCTGTACTTACTGAATTGGAAAACATACAGGTGATTTTTTCCTGGTCACTTGTGGTTTTACAACACTCCCCCCACTTCCCCACCACTGCCCCAGGTTATTTTGATGCCAGCCAAAGTGTGAGAACTACTGGCAGCTGCTGGCAGACAGCAGCAAAGGCCCAAATCCTCGGTGTGATTTCAAGACCCATATCTGGTTTTCAGCCATATTTCCTTCTCCTTCTCACAGCTGAGCCCACTCCTCCTCCCTCACCACCTGTAGGCTATGCTTTCCAGCCTGTGTCCAGGATTAGTCCTGATGTAAGGCACGTGGGGTTTAAGGATCTCTCTCTTCAGTCTTATTTCTGCACCATCTCTGACAGATATATTCCAGTTGTGATCATGGGGCTACCTCCTTTTGTTTCCAGTCCCATGCTCGTTTTCTCTATCACATTCTACCGTGTAATAACCTAAATCTTCTGGTGGGCAAGCTTCTTCCTCAATCAAATTTGTGTTTATGATTGTGTTGGGGATTGGCTTAGTAATCCAGGTACTGCTACTGCCTTGAAAGCGGAGACTGCATCCTTCTGTCTGGATTTCTTGAGTTTCTGGATTGTAAACCTTATTAGGGCCCATTTTTCCTAGAATTGGAGCCTCTACTTTGTTCTTGCTACCTTAGTTCACCCAAAAAGCATGATCTCTGCCTGAATTTCAAAGTGTTGGCTAGTTTAAATATCCTTTTGTGAGACTTTTGTCTTCCTGCGGGGTGATTTTTTCATCTTGCATACCATTGCTAATCTTTTTATCTTGAATGTAATTGAAATAGTTTTAATCTGTGTTACCAGCAACAAGAACCCCTTTTATGAGATGGAGAGGCCAGGTCAGTCTCATAACATGTGTCCCCCTCCGTGTGCTGAATTTATGTCAGAGCCAGGTTCTTTCCTATTTGATGTCTCTCACCAAATTCCAGTGTTTATGTCCTAGGAGGTGCCCAATAAATTCTAGAGTTGATACAAGCTGTAATTTTAGAGAAATTAAATTAGCATGTAGAATTAGATTATATACAATCTAATCAACTTTTCTTTTTCTTTCTGAGGATGACCAAGATTTGGGCTTCAGTGACAATAGCTGTCCCCTAAATATTTATACTCAGAATCTAGGATTACCAGTACAATGTTGAATAGAGGCGATGAACACACACATTCCTTTCTTGTCCTAATCTATGTAGTTTAAACATTTACGCTTTCACCATTAAATGTAATATTGTTTATATGTTTTGTTGTGGATGCTTTCCATCACTTTGAGAAAATTTCTTTTTCTAGTTTACTGAGAGGTTTTTTTTTTAAATCAGCAATAGATATTTCTCCAAAGAAAATATCCAAATGACCAACAGATACATGAAAAAAATGCTCAGCATCACTAATCATCAGGGAAATGCAAATCAAAACCACAAAGAGATATTGCCTCAAACCTGTTAGAATGGTCTTATTAAAAGAAAAAGATAACGAGTGATAACAATGGGGAGAAATTGGAACACTTATACAGTGTTTCTGGAAAAGTAAACTGTGCAGCCTCTATGGAAAACAGTACCGTGGTTCCTCAAAAAAATTAAGAAACTAGAACTACCATATGATCTAGCAATCCACTTCAGGTTATTTATCTGAAAGAATTGAGATTGGGATGATTCTCAGGCTCATTGCAGCATTATTTACACTAATCAAAATGTGGAAATGAGGTTAATGTCTATTGGCAGATGAATAGATAAAGAAAATGTGGTATATTCATACAACGGAATATTATTCAGCTTTAAAACAAGAAAGCCCGGCAATATGCAACATGGATGAACGTAGAGGACATTAATGCTAAGTAAAGTAAATCAGTCACAGAAGGACAAACTGTATGATTCCACTTGTATAAGGTATCTAAGATAGCCAAATTCATTAGAATCACAGATTAGAATGGTGATAGCTCTTTAAGTTGAAATCAATGTTGCATTCCTGGGTTTTGTAGTTTTGCTATCAGGATTCTGACTCATAAAACAAGTTTGGAATTTCCCCCTTCTTTATTTCTGAAATAATTTAAAAATTTTATTTTTTTTAAACGTTTGAAAGAATTCATCAGCAAAACTCTTTGGATCTGGAGTTTGCTTATTTTTTATTTCTTTAGTTTTATGTTTTTATGTGCAGGTATTTGAGAATTAATTTAATTACTTTAATAAATGTCAATTACTTCATATGTTCCATTTAATCTTGCGAATTTTTTTATAACTTTTTTCAAGGAATTCACCCTTTCATCCAAGTAATGAAAATTAGTATAAAATGTTTCACAATATTCCATTATCTTGTTAAAGTCTCTTGTGTCTACAACTGTACAATCTCATTAATCCCTGATATTTATAATTTGTGTTTTCTTTCTTTCTCACAGAACTAACTTTTGGCCATGATGATTTTCTCCTGTTTCTGTTTTCTGTCTCATTGATTTCTAATTTCTGTTTTATTTCTTTTCTTCTACTTGTTTTGGACTTGATTTGCTCTCTTGTTTTAGATTTTCTTTTTAAGGTAGAAAATTAGTTCACTTGTTTTGAACTTCTCTTTTTCAGAATAAGCATTTATACAAAAAATTTACTCTGGGTCTGCTTAACTTTATCCCATACATTTTGATATAGTATATTTTTATTTGTATTCAGTTCAATGTATTTAAAGGTGTTTCTTATGATTTCTTCCTTGCGCTAAAGGGCATTTTAAGATGTATTTAAATCTTCCAATAGTGTAGACTTTCCTGGGTAGCTTGTTTTTACCCATTTCAACTCATTTTCATTATGGTCAGAAAGCATACTTTCTATGATTACAGTGTTTTGAAACTTCTTGAGAGATATTTTGTGGTCTATAGCCTATTGATAAATGTTTCATGTGTAGCATAATAGAACATATATTCTATTGTCTTGGTCAATATCGATTATGTCAAGCTGTTGTCAAAATTATTTTATCTTAATTTTCTTTAGTTATTCTGTCAGCAATACAGCATTATGTCTTCATAATTACTTGACATTTTATCATTATGAAATAGCTGTCTGTTGTAATATTGCTTGTTTGGAGGTCTACTTTTTCTTATATTAATATAGCCACATAAGGTTTATTTTGCTTGTTGTTTCCTTGGTATACTTGGAAATTATTTTACTCTCAAATTATCTATACCATAATATTTGGCATGCATCTCTTATAGGTACTTTTATTAGCCAGTTGGACAATCTGTGTTTTATTTGGAGTATTTAAATTACATTTGAAATAATTATTGAAAAGTTTGGATTTAAGCCTACTATTTTTGCTTTTCTTTTTTTTTTTTTTTTCTTTTTTTGAGACGGAGTCTGGTCCTGTCACCCAGGCTGGAGTGCAGTGGCGGGATCTCGGCTCACTGCAAGCTCCGCCTCCCGGGTTCACGCCATTATCCTGCCTCAGCATCTGGAGTAGCTGGTACTACAGGCTCCCGCCGCCATGCCCGGCTAATTTTTGTATTTTTAGTAGAGACGGGGTTTCACCGTGTTAGCCAGGATAGTCTCGATC
>NT_187362.1:0-32032 GCF_000001405.40 Homo sapiens | reverse complement strand
GAATTCCACGTCAACGTAAGTCATTCATTTACCTAAAATCATGACTTAAAAAATTTTTAAAGGGCAAAAATCTTTACTCATTGATACGGGGAAGACTTATCTCCACAAATAATCTGCCTCTTGTTTTTCCTTTTTTTTTTTTGGTAATTTATTTACAAGGCAAACAAATTTTTCATTATTTTATTTTATCATTACTATTATTATTATTATACTTTAAGTTTTAGGGTTTATGTGCACAATGTGCCAGTTAGTTACATATGTATACATGTGCCAGTCTGGTGTGCTACACCCATTAACTCGTCATTTAGCATTAGGTATATCTCCTAATGCTATCCCTCCCCCCTCCTCCCACCCCACAACAGTCCCCAGAGTGTGATGTTCCCCTTCCTGTGTCCATGTGTTCTCATTTTTCAATTCCCATCTATGAATGAGAACATACAGTGTTTGGTTTTTTGTCCTTGCGATAGTTTACTGAGAATGATGATTTCCAATTTCATCCATATCCCTACAAAGGACATGAACTCATCATTTTTTATGGCTGCATAGTATTCCATGGTGTATATGTGCCATAATTTCTCAATCCAGTCTATCGTTGTTGGACATTTGAGTTGGTTCCAAGTCTTTGCTATTGTGAATAGTGCGGCAATAAACATACTTGTGCATGTGTGTTTATAGCAGCATGATTTATAGTCCTTTGGTTATATACCCACTAATGGGATGGCTGGATCAAATGGTATTTCTAGTTCCAGATACTTGAGGAATCGCCACACTGACTTCCACAATCGTTGAACTAGTTTGCAGTCCCACCAACAGTTTAAAAGTGTTTCTATTTCTCCACATCCTCTGCAGCACCTGTTGTTTCCTGACTTTTTAATGATTGCGATTCTAACTGGTGTGAGATGGTATCTCATTGTGGTTTTGATTTGCATTTCTCTGATGGCCAGTGATGATGAGCATTTTTTCATGTGTCTTTTGGCTGCATAAATGTCTTCTTTTGAGAAGTGTCTGTTCATATCCTTCACCCACTTTTTAATGGGGTTGTATTTCTTTTCTTGTAAATTTGTTTAAGTTCGTTGTAGATTCTGGATATTAGCCCTTTGTCAAATGAGTAGGTTGCAAAAATTTTCTCCCATTTTGTAGGTTGCCTGTTCACTCTGATGGCAGTTTCTTTTGCTGTGCAGAAGCTCTTTAGTTTAATTAGATCCCATTTGTCAATTTTGGCTTTTGTTGCCATTTCTTCTGGTGTTTTAGACATGAAGTCCTTGCCCATGCCTATGTCCTGAATGGTAATGCCTAGTTTTACTTCTAGGGTTTTTATGGTTTCAGTTCTAACATTTAAGTCTTTAATCCATCTTGAATTAATTTTTGTATAAGGTGTAAGGAAGGGATCCAGTTTCAGCTTTCTACATATTGCTAGCCAGTTTTCCCAGCACCATTTATTAAATAGGGGAACCACTCCTTGTTTTTGTCAGGTTTGTCAAAGATCAGATAGTTGTAGATATGCGGCATTATTTCTGAGGGCTCTGTGCTGTTCCATTGGTCTATATCTCTGTTTTGGTATCCGTATCATGCTGTTTTGGTTACTGTAGCCTTGTAGTATAGTTTGAAGTCACGTAGGGTGATGCCTCCAGCTTTGTTCTTTTGGCTTAGGATTGACTTGGTGATGCAGGCTCTTTTTTGGTTCCATATGAACTTTAAAGTAGTTTTTTCCAATTCTGTGAAGAAAGTCATTGGTAGCTTGATGGGGATGGCATTGAATCTATAAATTACCTTGGGCAGTATGGCCATTTTCATGATATTGATTCTTCCTATCCATGAGTATGGAATGTTCTTCCATTTGTTTGTATCCTCTTTTATTTCATTGAGCAGTGGTTTGTAGTTCTCCTTGAAGAGGTCCTTCATGTCCCTTGTAAATTGGATTCCTAAGTATTTTATTTTCTTTGAAGCAATTGCGAATGGGAGTTCACTCATGATTTGGGTCTCTGTTTGTCTGTTATTGGTGTATAAGAATGCTTGTGATTTTTGTACATTGATTTTGTATCCTGAGACTTTGCTGAGGTTACTTATCATCAGCTTAAGGAGATTTTGGGCTGAGACAATGGGGTTTTCTAGATATACAATCATGTCATCTGCAAAGAGGGACAATTTGACTTCCTCTTTTCCTAATTGGATACCCTTTATTTCCTTCTCCTGCCTGATTGCCCTGGCCAGAACTTCCAACACTATGTTGAATAGGAGTGATGAGAGAGGGCATCCCTGTCTTGTGCCCGTTTTCAAAGGGAATGCTTCTAGTTTTTGCCCATTCAGTATGATATTGACTGTGGGTTTGTCATAGATAGCTCTTATTATTTTGAGATAAGTCCCATCAATACCTAATTTATTGAGAGTTTTTAGCATGAAGCGTTGTTGAATTTTGTCAAAGGCCTTTTCTGCATCTATTGAGATAATCGTGTGGTTTTTGTCTTTGGCTCTGTTTATATGCTGGATTACTTTTATTGATTTGTGTATATTGAACCAGCCTTGCATCCCAGGGATGAAACCCACTTGATCATGGTGGATAAGCTTTTTTATGTGCTGCTGGATTCGGTTTGCCAGTATTTTATTGAGGATTTTTGCATCAATGTTCATCAAGGATATTGGTCTAAAATTCTCTGTTTTGGTTGTGTCTCTTCCCGGCTTTGGTATCAGGATGATGCTGGTCTCATAAATTGAGTTAGGGAGGACTCCTTCTTTTTTTATTGATTGGAATAGTTTCAGAAGGAATGGTACCAGTTCCTCCTTGTACCTCTGGTAGAATTTGGCTGTGAATCCATCTGGTCCTGGACTCTTTTTGGCTGGTAAGCTATTGATTATTGCCACAATTTCAGATCCTGTTATTGGTCTATTCAGAGATTCAACTTCTTCCTGGTTTAGTCTTGGGAGAGTGTATGCGTGGAGGAATTTATCCATTTCTTCTAGATTTTCTAGTTTATTTGTGTAGAGGTGTTTGTAGTATTCTCTGATGGTAGTTTGTATTTCTGAGTGATCAGTGGTGATATCCCCTTTATTATTTTTATTGTGTCTATTTGATTCATCTCTCCTTTTTCTTTATTAGTCCTGCTAGCAGTGTATCAATTTTGTTCATCCTTTCAAAAAACCAGCTCCTGGATTCATTAATATTTTGAAGCATTTTTTTGTTGCTATTTCCTTCATTTCTGCTCTGATTTTAGTTATTCCTTGCCTTCCGCTAGCTTTTGAATGTGTTTGCTCTTGCTTTTCTAGTTCTTTCAATTGTGATGTTAGGGTGTCAATTTTGGATCTTTCCTGCTTTCCCTTGTGGGCATTTAGTGCTATAAATTTCCCTGTACACACTGCTTTGAATGTGTCCCAGAGATTCTGGTATGTTGTGTCTTTGTTCTCGTTGGTTTCAAAGAACATCTTTATTTCTGCCTTCATTTTGTTATGTACCCAGTAGTCATTCAGGAGCAGGTTGTTCAGTTTCCATGTAGTTGAGCAGTTTTGAGTGAGTTTCTTAATGCCGAGTTCTAGTTTGATTGCACTGTGGTCTGAGAGACAGTTTAATTTCTGTTCTTTTACATTTGCTGAAGAGGGCTTTACTTCCAAGTATGTGATCAATTTTGGAATAGGTGTGGTGTGGTGCTGAAAAAATGTATATTCTATTGATTTGGGGTGGAGAGTTCTGTATATGTCTATTAGGTCCTCTTGGTGCAGAGCTGAGTTCAATTCCTTGGTATCCTTGTGAAATTTCTGTCTTATTGATCTGTCTAATGTTGACAGTGGAGTGTTAAAGTCTCCCATTATTATTGTGTGGGAGTCTAAGTCTCTTTGTAGGTCACTCAGGACTTGCTTTATGAATCTGGGTGCTCCTGTATTGGGTGCATATATATTTAGGACAGTTAGCTCTTCTTGTTGAATTGATCCCTTTACCATTATGTAATGGTCTTCTTTGTCTCTTTTGATCTTTGTTGGTTTACAGTCTGTTTTATCAGAGTCTAGGATTGCAACCCCTGCCTTTTTTTTGTTTTCCATTTGCTTGGTAGATCTTCCTCCATCCTTTTATTTTGAGCCTATGTGTGTCTCTACACGTGACATGGGTTTCCTGAATACAGCACACTGATGGGTCTTGACTCTTTATCCAATTAGCCAGTCTGTGTCTTTTAATTGGAGCATTTAGTCCATTTACATTTAAAGTTAATATTGTTATGTGTGAATTTGATCCTGTCATTATGATGTTAGCTGGTTATTTTGCTCGTTAATTGACGCAGTTTCTTCCTAGTCTTGATGTTCTTTACAATTTGGCATGTTTTTGCAGTGGCTGGTACCGATTTTGCCTTTCCATGTTTAGTGCTTCCTTCAGGAGCTCTTTTAGGGCAGGCCTGGTGGTGACAAAATCGCTCAGCATTTGCTTGTCTGTAAAGTATTTTATTTCTCCTTCACTTATGAAGCTTAGTTTGGCTGAATATGAAATTCTGGGTTGAAAATTCTTTTCTGTAAGATTGTTGAATGTTGGCACCCACTCTCTTCTTGCTTGTAGAGTTTCTGCCGAGAGATCAGCAGTTATTCTGATGGGCTTCCCTTTGTGGGTAACCTGACCTTTCTCTCTGGTTGCCCTTAACATTTTTTTCTTCATTTCAACTTTGGTGAATCTCACAATTATGTGTCTTGGAGTTGCTGTCCTCGAGGAGTATCTTTGTGGCGTTCTCTGTATTTCCTGAATCTGAATGTTGGCTTGCTTTGCTGGATTGGGGAAGCTCAGAGTAATTTGATCGTCTGAAGCCTTCTTCTCTCAGCTCGTCAAAGTCATTCTCCATCCAGCTTTGTTCCGTTGCTGTTGAGGAACTGCATTCCTTTGGAGGAGGAGAGGCGCTCTGCTTTTTAGAGTTTCCAGTTTTTCTGTTCTGTTTTTTCCCCATCTTTGTGGTTTTATCTACGTTTGGTCTTTGATCATGGTGATGTACAGATGGGTTTTTGGTGTGGATGTCCTTTCTGTTTGTTAGTTTTCCTTCTAAAAGACATGACCCTCAGCTTCAGGTCTGTTGGAGTTTGCTAGAGGCCCATTCCAGACCCTGTTTGCCTGGGTATCAGCAGTGGTGTCTGCAAAACCGTGGATTTTCGTGATCCGCGAATGCTGCTGTCTGATCGTTCCTCTGGAAGTTTTGTCTCAGAGGAGTACCCGGTCGTGTGAGGTGTCAGTCTGCCCCTACTGGGGGGCGCCTCCCAATTAGGCTGCTTGGGGGCCAGGGGTCAGGGACCCACTTGAGGAGGCAGTCTGCCCATTCTCAGATCTCCAGCTGCATGCTGGGAGAACCACTGCTCTCCTCAAAGCTGTCAGACAGGGACATTTAAGTCTGCAGAGGTTACTGCTGTCTTTTTGTTTGTCTGTGCCCTGCCCCCAGAGGTGGAGCCTGCAGAGGCAGGACGGCCTCCTTGAGCTGTGGTGGGCTCCACCCAGTTCGAGCTTCCTGGCTGCTTTGTTTACCTAAGAGAGCCTGGGCAATAGCCGGTGCCCCTCCCCCAGCCTTGCTGCTGCCTTGCAGTTTGATCTCAGACTGCTGTGTTAGCAATCAGCGAGACTCCGTGTGCGTAGGACCCTCCGAGCCAGGTGCCGGATATAATCTCCTGGGGTGCCGTTTCCTAAGCCCGTCGGAAAAGCACAGTGTTAGGGTGGGAGTGGCCCGATTTTCCAGGTGCCGTCTGTCACCCCGTTCTTTGACCAGGAAAGGGAACTAACTCCCTGACCCCTTGCACTTCCCGAGTGAGGCAATGACTTGCCCTGCTTCAGCTAGTGCACAGTGCACTTCACCCACTGTCCTGCACCCACTGTCTGGCACTCCCTAGTGAGATGAACCCAGTACCTCAAAAGGAAATGCGGAAATCACCCGTCTTCTGCGTCGCTCATGCTGGGAGCTGTAGACTCGAGCTGTTCCTATTCGGCCATCTTGGCTCCTCTTCCCATTATTTTTTAATATTTTCTGAAAATCTTCTTTAAAGAGAGAAAGCCAAATGTCACCCACTTTTTCATAAAACCTTATAGGCAAATCTATTATTCTTTTCTTTTTTTGAGGTGGATTTTCCCTCTTGTTGCCCAGGCTGGAGTGCAATGATGCGATCTCGGTTTACTGCAACCCCCTGCCTCCCAGGTTCAAGCAATTCTCCAGCCCCAGCCTCCTGAGTAGCTGGGATTAGAGACATGTCACACCATGCCCAGCTAATTTTGTGTTTTTAGTAGAGACGGGGTTTTTCCTTGTTGGTCAGGCTGGCCCTGAACTCCTGACCTCAGGTGATCCACCTGCCTCAGCCTCCCCAAGTGTTGGGATTACAGGCGTGAGCCACTGCCCCTGGCCATTTTTTTTTAAAGATAACGTCTTGCTCTGTCACCCTCCTCACCATATTATAGCTCTGGGGCAAAGCTGCATCACAATGATAATCATGGAGCCACAGGAAGAATCCACTCAGCTTTGTAAGATGCTGCCCAAGGGGTTGCTTGGAGTAACCAAATTAACATTTTTCATTCTGTTCAGAGCAAAATACGTGTGACAAAACATAGACACGTGCCACTTTGCTTAGCACCCAGTGTCAAACTGGTAAGACCCAAACTTGCTCCCAGATAGGCCGTGCCACCTCTAAATCTTTTTAGAAGCTTCTGCATATTAATAGGCATCCCTAGATGAGACTAATTTGGGAGCCCTCATTTTTAAATGCACTTCAGGGCATTATTCATTTGGAATGTTCCACTGTAAGTTATCTTTAGAAAGATTTTGCCATTTCTGTAAGACTTTGCTGCTTCCCAGGCCTAATGAATTAGCCAGAAGGAACTAAGTTTTCCAGAAATTAATGATCCTATTGTTACCTAATATATTGTCTTTACTCCCAGGTTCCCTTGATTGACTTAGCCAATGATTTTTTTTCCTACCTAAGCGTGCGAGGAAAATGAAACAAAGGGGTAGAACACAAAAATCCCTGTGAATTTTCAAAAGCCAAATTTTACAACCCTCCAAAATTATCATTTACTACCACTTTCCTTCTGACCCATTCAGATGTAGGAGGTCTCTAACTGGAACTGGATTCAAGCCAGTTAACTACTGGATCAAATCTGATCCTGGGCCCTGTCCCGTTTCTGTCATAACTTCTAAAACATCCAGTCAGTCATGGCTGGATAGCAGTTTGGAACAGAAAATTGCTCAAGGAAACTCAGAGCTCAAAACACAAATCCATGGAGCTATGAAATCCGAGAGAGAATTTACCATGATCCCCAGCTGCTCTGAGAGGTCAAAGTGCACAAGTGTTACAGAATCCTGAGACATCACTTTTCTGCCTGAAACCTCTGGCTGGTGGTGCCTTTACCTGTGTTTTGCTCGGGCCCACTGGGTTCGTTCTGTCCACTCGGCTCATGCTAGTGGTGTGGATCCCACACCTGCCAAGGATGAGCTGGGTACAGAGCAGTGAAGGGTGTGTGAGCAAGCAAGCATGGGATCTGGCCACTGCACACAGCCAAGCATGCCAGCTGCAGTGGAGTGGGCAGCTCCAGGTACCGGCACAAGTGCCAGCTCCCTGTGAGGTTGCAGCTGGACCAGACCGACTGCAAACAGCTTCCACTGTGTGTATCAGGAAATGCAGTGGTGCCTGGAAACTTGGAGATGCAGGAACTGCAGAGCCCCAAAGAAGGCATCACAGCCCTGGCTTGGGGAGCTCCTAGGTCTGGGCTCCCTGAAGGGCCACAGCTCTTATCTCCTTCTCTCTTCTCTTCTTCTTGCCTGCAATTTGGCAAGGAAAGGGTGCGTTTCAGCCCTGTTTACGTTACACCTCTTTCAGCCCTGCTAGTTGGCAGGTCCCGAGTTCTTTTCCTGAGTCCAGGAAGAATGAGGTATGTGGGCAAATAGAAGGTGAGCAAGGTGAAGAGGTGCTTTATTGAGCAACAGTACAGCTCAGAGGAGAACTGCAGTGGGTAACTCCTTTCTGTTGGCAGGTCATCCCAACGTCTGTTCAGCTCTCAGCAGCTGAGAGAGACGCACTGTGGTTAGCTGTGCCCACATTGCTGAGGCTGTTCGAGCTGAGGAGTGCCTTCAGGCCAGTGCTGAGCCACTCTTAGACCCACCTCAACCTCCCTCTTGTGCTCGTCACTGCCGAAAGTCTGGAGGGGGCGGAGGTGGCAGGGGGCTGGCACGTCAGCACTGCCCTGAGCTTGCACAAACCGGGCCGGGTTGCGACTGTGCCTGGGTTCAGCCTCAACTTGGATCCGAAGTTGGAGTGGGCTCTGGGAGTGGAGAGATGCCAGGTGGTGGGACCAGGTACGACTGAGCCTGTGGGGGCAGGGGGCTTGCTGGGCCTCTAAGAGTGCAAAGATGCCCGGGTTTGCAGTCATGGCTGGATGGCTGCAGCTGTGCCTGGGAGGGCGGGGCTCCTGCTTGCCAATTTAGAAAGGGTGGGGCTCCCACCGGTTCCTGGCTCCCACCAGCTTCGAGGAGTGCACAGCCCCAGCCACTCCTCCCCACTGCAGCCAGTGTCTCCGTAGCAACTGCTCCATGTGGACCACTGCTGCCATCACAGAGCAGTCCTTGCAGGTGCCTTTCTTGTACCTCAGCACTCCTGGGGGTCATTAGAAGCCCTAGCAACACTGCTCACCACACTATAGCTCCGGAGGCCCTAGCAGTCCTGCTCCCACAGATCCCACTTCTGACACCATCTATTAAAAGAAAATCTTCAGCTGAATTAAATTTAAAGGAACTTAATTGAGCAATGAATGATTCACGAATCAGGCAGCCCCCAGAATCACAGCAGATTTGGTGAGACTCCAGCACAGCTACATGGTGGAAGATTTATAGACAATAAAGGGAACGTGATGTACAGAAATCTGAAGTGAGAAGTGAGGTCCAGAAGCAACTGGGTCCCTTACTGTTCTCAGCAGTGAGGTCCAGAAACAACTGGACTGGTTACAGTGCTCAGCATTTGCCTTATTTGAACACAGCTGAACACTCAGCAGTGTGTGAGTGGCAGAAGTTTGGCAGCTGGGATTGGCCAGGACTCAGCTATAGTTACAGGCGGATACTCCTAAGTTAGGTTTTCAGTCTTTCTACCTATTAAGTTAGGTTGCAGTTTGTCCACAGGGACTCAAATCTAGAAGTACAGAGTCCTTCCCAGGCCATATTTAGTTCACTGTAACAGTTCCTATTATGACCTCACTGACAGTTCTTTTTCTCTGAATTCTCCTTTCTTCTCAACAGCTTATCCAAATGTTCCATTAGTCCCTGTTCATCCCGCCCTGCAGTTCTCCTTGACTGATTCAGCCCTTTGTGGTTTGCAGTCCTGTTTCTCTACAGCTTGGACCCCTTCAGTCTTTCCATCATAGGTTTAACTCTCTGTTGAATGCTTCTTTGTAGCTACACAAAATTTACCTTAAGCTCAAAAAATTCAAAGTGAAAGCCACATCCTCTTCTCTTCCTTTATGTGTATGGTATTACTACCATGCAGCCAGTGACCCAAAATGGGATTTCTTCTGGGCTTTTCTTGCTTAGATTCAGGCTCATCTGGTGTCAAGCCTTGTTACTTTTGTTTCCTTGTTCTTTTATTTTTAATTTTTTTTCTTTTGAGACAGAGTTTCACTCTTGTTGTCCAGGCTAGAGGACAGTGGTGTGATCTCGGCTCCCTGCAGCCTCCACCTCCCGGGTTCAAGAAATTCTCCTGCCTCAGCTCCTGAGTAGCTGGTATTACAGGCATTTGCCACCATGCCCGGCTGATTTTGTATGTTTAGTAGAGATGGGGTTTCTCTGTTTTGATCAGGGTGGTCTCGAACTCCCGACCTCAGGTGATCCACCTGCCTCGTCCTCCCAAAGTGCTGGGATTACAGGCGTGAGCCACTGTGACTGGCCTGCTTGTTGTTTTCATCTCATCCTGATTTCTGAATACAGGAGAGGAGCTGAGTTGGCGTTCACTAACAAGCACGGAAGCTTTGTTACATTTACAGTGTCATTCTTGGCAAAACCTGAATGGTATGTTTGTGGGGTGATGAGATTCAGTCCCCTGTGACCTGTGCATCTGGCCAACACTGTGGTGACATCCTTAGGAATCAATGGGGAGGGAGAAAGTATTCAGGAGTTAGTGGGTCACATTTGACAAGGGCCAATAAAGAAATATGCAAAGACAAAAATCAAGAAGAACATTGTCATATGTTACACCTTTTGTTTATATAAATTTATGTCAATGATTCTAGCTTATGTTAATATTCAATGTATACAATATGCTAACATATACAATATATGTTTATAGTTTAAACATTTCTGTCATGTTTTCAGATTCTTTAAAGATTATATTACACTTCCTATTTCAGATAGCTGTTTAAAATAAGTAAGGAGAAACGGATGTGTGCATCAGTTCTAACTGTTTATGGACTAAAACTAGTTGATTTCTTGGTTAAGAACAAAAAGTGACAACCTAATTAACTGAAAATTTTAAGTAGGCAATTATAGTTTTAGCTTTAACGTAAAATAGTAACTATGCTCCATTCTTGCATTTTTAACCTAATACTCAATATAAATCGCTACATGCCGTTTCAGATCAAGGTTCTACTTGTGATCTCTCATGAGTTTTTCAAGGTTTTAATTATCTGAGATGTAACTATGTACCAGTAACCTTACTGGCTTAAACCAGGAATTTATTTTTTTACATGTCACAATTTTCTGGGTCAAGACACTGGACAGGGCGGTGTGGGTTGGTTGCTTCATGATGTCCTTGGTCTCATCTGGAAGGACTCTGATGGCTGGGGACACGGAGCAGGCACCCAGCCCTCTCTTCGTGGCCAGCACGGACTTCCTTCCAGTCTGGCAGCGTCAGGTAGTCAGGTTTGTCTGGTTTCTCCCAGGGTGCGTGTCCAAGAGGCCCAGGCAGAATCTGTAAGGCCTCTTATGATCGCCCCTCAGAAGTCCCAGAGCATCTCTCCTGCCACACTGCCCAGTCGCACTCATCACTGAGACCAGCCATGATTCAAGGGCGGAAGGTGATTAGATTCCACCTCTTGATGAGAAGCATAGTAGGAACCTGCAGCAGTCTTTAATAAACCACAGCTTGTCCTCTGGTCACAAACTATTAACATTTCTGCTACATGCAAATTATGCTTTGCCCCTCTCAAGAGCCCCAGAATGGTTTTCCTTATGGCACTGGCTGGTAGCCCAACTGAATCCTGAATCAGGTTGTGGTGGCCTGTCATCTGCACCCACACACACTCAGCCGCAGTGAGGACTGAATCAGGTTGTGGTGACCTGTCATCTGCCCCCCCCCCGACACAGCAACAGTGTGGACTGAATCAGATTGTGGTGGCCTGTCATCTGACCCCCCACACACAGCCACAGTGGGGACTGAATCAGGTTGTGGTGACCTATCATCTGAGCCCACAAACTCAGCCGCAGTGAGGGGACTGGTGTGAAAACAGTCGGCATTTCCCTTTAGAAGCTGTTGGTGGGAGGCAAGAGGGAAGTGCTGCCCTGCAGGCCCCGTCTAACAGTTGGTCATTCCCATGGGGTGCCTGTTACAGTTCTGTGATTACTGCCCAGTCCTGGTCCCTGAGAACGGCGCCCAGTCCTGGTCCCTGAGAATGGTGTTTGTGTCCTTTCTCCTTCAGTGCCTGGCTTGCCTTTGACCAAGTTTCCCTGCCTTTTTCTTAGGGTCAATAGGGTATTCAATGGCTTCTTTTTCATTTTTTTTCCTTTTCTTTTCTTTCTTTTTTCTACTTTGGCCTTTTGAGACAAGAAATTATTTCTTTATATTTTCTCTAAATTCTGTTTGAAAACTGAACCTCCTTGTTTAGATCATGTCCCTCTCCTGTCATATTTATTCAGTGACAGTTAGGGGAGGCTGGTAGCACTTTCCATGTTCTTCCCAGATGTCTCCTTAGGCAGATCCCTGAGATGGTGCAGTGCCCTTTCAGTTTCCATGTTGTGGCCATAGTTTTCCCACAGTCCCTCAGCACGTAACTCTCAGGCCTTTTCTCCAGTTTCCAATGACATTTTCTCACCATCCTTCAGGCCCTGACCAAGAGTCTTGATGCTCTTCCAGGTTGCATGAATGGTCTCCTTGAGGCCCAGTTACAGGTCAGCCTCACAGTCGTGTCACATATTGTAGCTTCTGATTACCACAGCAGCTCATTTCCAGCGGTCATATTCTGTTCCAGTTTTCTATTCTGAAGAAACCATCCCCAAAACTTGGCAGCTTAAAACAACTCATTATTACTTGTTTTTTGGCTTAGAGAGTCTTGGTGGTCAGCTCATCTCACACACCGTTGCAGCCAAGTTGGATTGTGTGAAAGCACAGTGGGGTTGTGTGCAGGGTGGCTCACTAGTGGTTGGGAGTGGATGTTGCTGGAGGCTCACTAGTTGTTGGGAGTCGGTGTTGCTGGAGGCTCAGTGGGGATGTCAATGCATGTAGCTAGTCATGGACTGGCCGTGTGGTTTCCATCATGAGGTCTCAGGGGAGTGGGATTTCCTGCCTGGTGACTGGCTTTCTCCTGGATAAGTGTTCTGTTTTCTCAGCCTGGCTTCTGAAGTCCCCAAATACCACCTTTGTCACCTTCTGTTGGCCAAATAAGTCAGTAGTCTGGTCAAGGTTTAAGGGGAATTGGTCCTCACAGAGAGAGGAGCAGGAAAGAAGTTGTCACCTCTAGTCTACCAGAAATGAGATTTTTATAACAAGTTTGTTCCAAATACATTCCAGTTCCCCTTGTGAATACTTTTTGACTCACAGGGTATTTCAAAGTTTATTACTTGGTTTTCAGACATTTGAGGCTTTTCTGGATATCAATTTGTTGTTGGTTTCTAATTTAATTTCAAGTGTTCAGACAACATACTTTGTATACTATTTCAGGCTTGAACCTTTTCTCAATCGATCGACATACAGTTTATCTTGGTACTGCCAAGTACCATTTGGGTCAGGATTTTGTCATTTAGATCCATATTTTTCCTATATTTTTATCTGGTTGTTCCATCAGTTACTGAGAGAGCAGTATTAATTCACCAGCTATAATTTTGGATTGTCAATTTCCTGCTTTTGTCTGTTGTTTTTGATTCACATATTTGAGGCTCTGTGTGTGTGTGTAATTTGTGTGCACTTTGAGGCACAATTTATAATTGTAACATCATCCTCTCTGATTATTTTATTTTTATTAAATTACCCTGTTTATTTCTGGTGATATATTTTGCTCTGAAGCCTCTTTCATCTAGTGTTAACATCTCTGTTGAAGCTTTTTATGATTAGTGTCTGGATAGCATATTTTTAAGATTAGTGTCTGCATAGCATATTTTTTCTCATACTTTGTTTGTGTCTTTGTGTTTAAATTTTGTCTCTGTGGATGCCATATTGTTGGGTCTTGCCTTCCTCTCAGGTCTGGCAGTCTCTGTCTTAAGTAGAGTATTTGTCCAGTTACATTGTAACTAATCACTGCTAAGGTTGGATTTAGGTCTGCCATTTTTCTACTTATTTTCTATTTGTTTGTTTATTTTTTTAAGACAGGGTCTTACTCTGTCACCCAGACTGTAGTGCAATGGTGCAATCTTGGCTCACTGCAACCTCTGCCTCCCAGGCCCAACCAATCCTCACTTGAGCCCCCTGAGTAGCTGGGACTACAGGTGCATGGCAACACACCTGGCTAATTTTTATATTTTTTGTAGAGATAGAGTTTTGCCATGTTGCACAGGCTGATCTTGAACTCCTGAGCTCAAGCAACCTACCCACCTTGGCATCCCAAATTGTTCAGATTACAGGCATGAGCCACCATGCCTGGCCTTCGTCTGTCTTTTGATCTTCTATATATTCTTTCCTAACTTCTTTTGGGTTAAATATTTCTAAATATTCCAGTTTGATTAATCTTTTGGCTTTTTGAAATAATTTTTTATAGGCTGGGCATGTTGGCTTATGCTCATAATCTCAGCTCTGTGGGAGTCCAAGGGAGGTGGATTGCTTGAGCCCAGGAGTTTGAGACCAGCCTGGGCAACATGGGAAAACCCTCTCTACAAAAAAACCAAACCAAACTTTAGCCTGACATCTTGGTGTGCATCTGTAGTCCCAACTATTTGGGAGGCTCAGGTGGAAGGGTTGCTTGAGCCTGGGAGTTTGAGGCTGCAATGAGCTGTGATCATGCCATTGCACTCCTGCCAGGGCAACAGAGTAAGATCCTGTGTCAAAAAAGATCATTTTTTATAAATAATTTATTATTTTGAATTTTGGTAACAAACACATACCTTAAAATTTACCATCATAACCAGTTGTAAGTGTACAGTTTTGTAGAGTTAAGAATATTTACAGTGTTGTGTAGCAGATTTCTAGATGTTTTTTTATCTTGGAAAACTCTATACTCATTCAACAACTATTAATTTCCCGTTCCTTCCACCTCCTGGCAAGTACTATTCTACTTTGTGTTTCTAAAACTTTGGCTTATATACCTAGGGTTATATAATATTTGTTGTTTTGTAAGTAGGTTCCATGTTATGTGTCAGAAGTGTCAGGATTTTCTTCCTTTCTATTGCTGAATAATATTTCTTCATATATATATATATATTTTTTTCTCTCTCTCTCTCTCTATATATATATATCCTTTTGTTTATCCATCTATTCCTGGATGGACGTTTTGGTTTCTTCCACTTGTGGCTGTGTAATGCTCCTGTGAACATAGGTGTGCACATATCTGTTTGAGTTCCTGCTACTAGTTATTCTGTCTCTGTAGAAGTTGGATGGCTGGATCATATGGTCATTTTATTTTATTTTTTTTTGAGGAGCCAGTTCATATTTCCACCAACAGTGTTCAAGGGTTTCAGTTTCACCTGCACTTGTTACTATCTGTTGGGTTAGAAGTGATGTCCCATTGTGGTTTCTATTTGCATTTCTTTAATGACTAGTGATGTTACACATCTTCTCATATATCTCATGTATCTGTTGGCTATTTTTATATCATCTTTGCATCTTTGGATAAATGTTCTTTGTCCATTTTTTAATCACTTTATTTTGTTGTTGTGTTGTAGTGGGGTTTTTTGGTCATGATCATTCATTTATCTCACAGTTCATTCTTGTTACTTGGGCCAGGGTCATGGTCATTCATTATCTCTCAGTTCATCCTCATTACGTTGGGCAAACAGTCATGCTTCAGGGTATAGATTATGTTATTCTGTTACTTTCAGGTAGAATTGGGGTCTAGGTTCTAATTGTTTCTAAGTTTAGATTCTGAATGAGAATCAGCAGAGGTAGACCACTGCTGCTGAGGCCTGGGGATTGCTGGGGAAAAGGCAGGAAACAGATACGGACCTGACCATGGAAGGTTTGTGTTTCACGGCTCCCATCTGGGTACCCAAGGAACCTACATGTAGCTCGTGTGTGGAAAGCCTACATTGCCCACTCAAAGCAATTGAGGATGGAACAGTCTTGGTGCTGGAGCTCATTATTTGGAATGATAACCACATCTGCACAGAGAGGACCTGATAAGATGTTGTCCTTCCATGTATATCTGGGAATCCTGTGTAGGGTCTCTCTGTAAGGACAGGGGCAGTGTTGGCTCCTTGGCCTCTAGTTAGCCTCACAAGTAGTCTAGTAAAGGCTTTGCAAACTTGTCACCATCTGTGGACATTCTGGCCAGCTCTTGTTTTCACCCTACTGACTTCTTCAGACACTAGGCTTTTGCTTTAGACCATTCATGGTTTTTCTTCCTCTTCAAATCAGTAATCAATAAATCATCTTCAAGTCAATAAATTTCCACTCCTTTAGGAAACCCTGATCTTCTGGTCACACCAAGGTTTAATTATCTGGTTTGACTGTTTTTCTGTTTTGTTTTTTTTTTTCCTTCTTCCTAGGGGATTCTAGTAATTCTAGTTTGATGTCTCACTTTCTCCATTTTTTATTTCTTAGTTTTCTTCTGTGATTATTTTCACTGCAGCTGCAGGGCCTAATCCTATGTTGGCAGAGAACTAGCACTTACTCTGCCCTAATTGGAATCCAGGAGAGATAGGAGGTGCCCTAGTGTGAAAGTGTGTTTGCTCCTCTCTGCTTCTGGTAGTCTCTCTGTAGGAGTTCTTTACGTATTCTGTATGTTCACTTCTTATGAGATACATGATGAGCAACTATAGATTGAATGTCTCTGATCCAAAAATCTGAAATCCCAAATGCTCCAAAGTCTGAAACTTTTTGAGTGCCAACATGACATTCAAAGGAAATGCTTATTGGAGCATCTCAGACTCAGGTGTTTGAATTCGAGATGCTCAACCAGTAAGAATAGTGCAAATATTACAAAATCTGAAACACATCCCAAGCATTTCAAATAAGGGACACTCAACTGGTATTTTCTTTTATTCTACAGTTTGCCTTTTACCCTGTTGGTTGTGACCTTTGAGGTACAGAAGTTTTTAGGTTTGATATATTTTTGCTTTTACTGCCTGAGCTTTTAATGTCATATCCTAAAAATTATTCACAAATTCATCGTCATAAAGCATTTTCCAAATTTGTTTTCCCTAGGAGTTTGATAGTTCTAGTTTTACATTTAGGTTTATAATTCACTTTGAATTAATTTTAACGTGGTGTAAGGTAAGAGTCCAACTTCACTGTTTTGCATGTAGATATACAATTTTCCCAACACAATTTGTTGCAGAAACTGTCCTTCACCATTGAGTGGTCTTGGCATCCTTGTGGAAGGTCATTGGACCATATATGCCAGGGTTGGTTTCTAAGGTCTCTGTTGTGTTGGTCCATAAGTGTGTCAAGAGTGTCTTTATGCCATGACCACATTTTTTTTGGCTTATTGCAGTTTTGTAATTGTTTTGAGACCTTTAATTTTGTTCTGTTTCAAGATCGATTTGCCTATTCATGGGCCCTGGGGATTCCATATGAATTTTAGGATAGGTTTTTCTGTTTATCAAAAATGTCATTGGAATCTTTATAAGGATTGTATTGAATCTAGGTCACTTCGAGTAGTGTTGACATCATTCCAAGATGAAATCATCTAATCTGCAAACCCAGCTTTTCTTTTCATGTATTTGTGTTTAATTTCTTTCAACAGTGTTTTGTAGTTTTCTGTGTTCAAATCTTTTGCCCTCTTGGTTAAGCTTATTTATAATTTTTATAATGCTGTTGTAAATGTAATACTTTTTTTTTTGAGATGGAGTCTTGCTCTGTCTTCCAGGCTGGAGTGCAGTGGCACTATCTCAGGTCACTGCAACCTGCACCTTCCTTATTCAAGCAATTCTCCAACGTCAGCCTCTCAAGTACCTGGGATCACAGGTGCACGCCACCACGCCCAGCTAACTTTTTGGTATTTTTAGTAGAGACAGGGTTTCTCCATGTTGACCAGGCTAGTCTTGAACTTGTGACCTCAGGTGATCTGCCCGCCTTGGCCTCCCAAACTGCTGGGATTGCTAGCATGAACCACCGCACCCGGCCAAATGTCATTCTTTTTAAAAATTTCTTTTGTTTTCTCTTTCTTTTCTTTTCTTTCTCTCTCTTTCTTTCCTTTCTTTCTTTTTTTTTGAGACCGCGTCTCACTCTGTTTCCTAAGCTGCAGCACAGTGGCACAATCTCAGCTGACTGCAACCTCCAATTCCCAAGTTCAAGCAATTCTCCTGCCTCAGACTCCCAAGTAGCTGGGACTACAGGTGTCTGCCACTATGCCCAGCTAATTTTTGTATTTTTAATAGAGATAGAGTTTTACTATTTATATTAGAGATGGGGTTGGCCCAGCTGGTCACGAACTCCTGACCTCAGGTGGTCCACCCGCCTTGGCCTCCCAAAGTGCTGGGATTACAACTGTGAGCCACTGCACCTGGCCTCTTTTTAAAATTTTATTTGCAGATTGTTCATTGTTAGTTTAGAGGAATGCAACTGACTTGAGTGTGTTACTATATCCTGAAACTTTGTTGAATTTCATTATTCTACCAGTATTTTGTGGAATTTCAGAATTTTTACACATTACATCATGTTGTCTGTGAACAAATTTTGTACTTTTTCCTTTCCAATTTGCATGCTTTTTATTAATTTCTCTTGCCTAATTATTCTAAGTAGAAATTCCAGTGCTGTGGTGAATAGAAGTGGCAGGAAGAGAAGTTGCTATCTTATTCCTGATCCTAGAGGAAAAGATTTTAGTTTTTCACCATTGAGTATGATGTTAGCTGTGAGCTTTTCATGTATAATCTTTATTTACTGAGGAGATTCCATATATTACTAATTCTTTGAGTGTTTTTATTACAAAAGGTGTTCATCTGGCTCTGGAATCAGATAAATGTTGACCTGATAGAATGGATTGGAATGTCCCCTTCTGGTTTTTGAACATTTTTGGAAGATTTTGCAGAGGATTGGCATTAATTCTTCTTGAAATGTTTGGTAAAATTTTCCAGTAAAGTTATCTGGACCTGGAATTTTCATTTTGGTGGGGTTTTTGATTACTGGTTGAATCTTCATACTAGTTACAGGTCTCTTTGGATTTTTTATTTCTCCGTGATGCAGTATGGTGGTTTGTGTTTCTAGGAATTTATAAATTTATTCTAGGTTGCCCAGTTTTGTGGCATATGGTTGCTCACATTAGTGTCTTGTAATCTTTTTCATTTCTGTGGCATCTGTTGTACTGTCAACTCTTTTATTTATGATTTTAGTATTTGAGATTTCTCTTTTTTTCTTAATATAGCTTAAAATAAAAATTTTAAAATTTTTATTGATCTTTAAAAAAACAAACTCACTGTTTTTTTTTCCTTTTTTTCTGGTCTTATTCTGCTTATCTCTGCTCTAATCTGTTATTTTCTTCCTTTTGCTTGGTTTGTCATTAGTTTTTTTTTTCCTCCTTCAGGTGTAATATTAGGTTATTGATTTGAGATCTATCTTCTTTTTAATTTAAGCACCTGCAGCTATAAGCTTCCCTTTAGCAAGGGTATGAGATCTTTCTTCTTTTTAATTTAAGCATCTGCAGCTGTAAGCTTCCCTTTAGCACGGGTTTGAGATCTTTCTTCTTTTTAATTTAAGGATCTGCAGCTGTAAGCTTCCCTTTAGCATGGGTTTGAGATCTTTCTTCTTTTTAGTTTAAGCATCTGCAGCTGTAAGCTTGCCTTTAGCACTGCCTTTGTTGCCTCCTCCTGAGTTTGGGTATGTCATGGTTTCGTTTTCATTTGCTTAAACATTTTTTGTCCTATTGTAATATAATTGTGTTGTTTTTAATAAAGGTAATTAATGAAACACATAATGAATTGTGCTTCTGTTTTTATAATATTTTAAGCATTCTTAACTCAGAAATGTAAATTTTAGAAAAAAATTCCAGGCCAGGCACAGTGGCTCACACCTGTAATCCCAGCACTTGAGGAGGCTGAGGCGGGAGGATCATCTGAGGTCAGGAGTTGGAGACCACCCTGGCCAACATGGTGAAACCCTTTTACTAAAAATAGAAAAAAATATATAAAAGTTAGCTGCTTGTCATGGCGGGTGCCTGTAATCCCAGCTACTCTGGAGGCTGAGGCAGGAGAATCACTTGAATCTGGGAGGCGGAGTTTGCAGTGAACTGTGATTGCACCACTGCACTCCAGCCTGGGTGACAGAATGAGAGTCCGTCTCAAAAAAAAAGAAAAAAGAAAAAATTTCAGACATATTTATTTGTATTTCAATTCAGAAACTATGATCTCCTAAGTGTATTGACACAGCAACCTGACATAAAGATAAAGAATAATAAGCATATAACAAAACAGAAACTTGCAAATACCTGTTTTTTATTAATTTTTAATTATATGTATTAAAAAATTGCCGGGTGCAGTGGCTTACACCTGTAATCCCAGCACTTTGGGAGGCTGAGGTGGGCAGATCACATGAGGTCAGGAGTTTGAGACCAGCTTGGCCAACATGGTGAAACCTCATCTCTATTAAAAATGAAAAAATTAGCCAGGCGTGATAGCATGCATCTGTATTCCCAGCTACTCGGGAGACTGAGGCAGGAGAATTGCTTGAACATGGGAAGCAGAGGTTGCAGTGAGCCAAGATAGTGCCACTGCACTCCAGCCTGGGTGACAGAGTGAGGCTCTGTCTCAAAAAAATAAAAATTGTCTGGGCGCGGTGGCTCACACCTGTAATAGCAGCACTTTGGGAAGCTGAGGCAGGCAGATCACGTCAGGAGATCGAAACCATCCGGGCTAACACAGTGAAACGCCATCTCTACTAAAAATACAAAAAATTAGCCAGGCGTGGTGGCGGGTGCCTGTAGTTCCAGCTACTCCGGAAGTTGAGGCAGGAGAATGGTGTGAACCTGGGAGGTGGAGCTTGTAGTGAGCTGAGATTGCGCCACTGGACTCCAGCCTGGGTGACAGAGCAAGACTCTGTCTCAAAAAAATAAAATAAAATAAAGCTAAGGTGTGGTTGACACACAAAAATTACACATATTTAATATATACCGTGTGTGTGTGTGTGTGTGTGTGTGTGTGTGTGTGTGTGTTTGTGTGTGTGTTACGGAGGTTTTACTCTTGTTGTCCAGGCTGGAGTGCAGTGACACGATCTCAGCTAACTGCAACCTCCGCCTCCCGGGTTCAAGCAATTCTCCTGCCTCAGCCTCCTCAGTAGCTGGGATCACAGGCATGCGCCCCCACGCCTGGCTAATTTTTGTATTTTTTTAGTAGAGACAGGGTTTCACCATGTTGGCCAGGCTGGTCTCGAACTCCTGACCGCAGATGATCCACCTGCCTCGGCCTCCCAAAGTGCTGGGATTACAGGCGTGTGACACCGAATATATACATCTTAATGAGTATAGAGATAAGTATTCGCCCCAGGACTCATCACAACAAATAATGCCGTAAACTTGACAATCACTCCCCATATATTTCTCATTCTCACCCTTTTTAAAAAATGAGACCGGGAGTGGCGGCTCATACCTGTAATCCCAGCAATTTGGGAGGCCAAGGCAGGTGGATCACGAGGTCAGGAGATCAAGACCATCCTGGCTAACACAGTGAAACCCCGTTTCTACTAAAAATACAGAAAATTAGCCATGCTTGATGGCGGGCACCTGTAGTCCCAGCTACTCGGGAGACTGAGGCAGGATAATGGTGTGAACTCGGGAGGCAGAGCTTGCAGTGAGCCGAGATCGTACCACTGCACTCCAGCCTGGGCAACAGAGTGTGACTCCGTCTCAAAAAAAATGAGATGACCATTTCACATAAAATATACCCTCTTAAGTATTTTTTTAAGTGTACAATACAGGACAGCCATGCATCAGAGATATATGTGGGTTTGGTTCCAGACCACTGCAATAAAGTTTTATACAATTTCTTTCGGTTTCCCAGTGCATGTAAAAGTATGTTTATACTGTGCTGTATAAAGTGTGCAATAGCATTTGTCTACAAAGTATACACACTTTAATTTACAAATACTTTATTGTTAACAAGTGCTAACAGTCATCTGAGCCTTCAGAAAGCTGCAATCTTTTTTTGTGTGCGTGACAGGGTTTTACTCTGTGGCTCAGGCTGGAGTAATTGCAGCCTCAACCTCATGCTCAATCAAACCCCCACCTCAGACTCCTGACTAGCTGGGACTACAGGTGCATGCCACCGTGTGCAGCTAATTTTTGTATTTTTTTTTGTAGAGATGGGGTTTTGCCATGTTGCCTCGACTTCCTGGGCTCAAGAAATCCACCCACCTTGGCCTCCCAAGGTGTTGGGATGACAGGTGTGAGCCACTGCACCTGGCCAAGTTTCAGTCTTCTTGCTGATGGAGGGTCTTACCTTAATGTAAGGTGGTGGTTGCTGAGCGTTGGGGTGGCTGTGGCAATTTCTTAAAAAAAGACAATATTGAAGTTTGCTGTGTCAATTGACTCTCCCTTTCACAAAAGAATTATCTGTAGCATACGATGATAGCTTTTTACCCACAGTAGAACTTTCAAAATTGGATTCAATGCTGTCAAACCTTCGTACTGCTGTACCAACTAAGTTTACGTATTATTTTAAATCATTGGGTTCAATCCTGTCAAGCCTTCCTTCTGCTGTACCAAGTTTATTCTAAATCTGTTGTCATCTCAACATTGTTTACACTGTCTTCACCACGAGTAGATTTCATCTGAAGAAACCACTTTCTTTGCTCATCCGTGCAAGCAACTCATCCTCTCACGTTTTCTCCAGAGGATGCTGCAGTCTCGCCAGATCTTCAGGCTCTGTCTCTGATTCTAGTGCTCTTGTTATTTCCACCATATCTGCAGTTACTTCCTCCACAGAAGTGGTGAACCCCTCTGTCATCAGTGAGGGTTGGAATAATCTTCCCAACTTCTCTCTCTCTCTTTTATTTTTTTGAGATGAAGTCTTGCCTGGGCTGGAGTGCAGTGATGCGATCTCAGCTCACTGCAACCTCCACCTCCCGTGTTCAAGCAATTCTCCTGCCTCAGCCTCCCAAGTGTTTGGGATTAGAGTCACCCCCGACCAGGCCCAGCTAATTTTTTTTTTTGTTTATAGTATAGACAGGATTTCACTATGTTGGCCAGGCTGGTCTCAAATTCCTGACCTCATGATCTGCGTGCCTTGGCCTCCCAAAGTGCTGGGATTACAGGCGTGAGCCACCAAGCCCAGCCCCAACTTCTCCTAATGTTGCTATTTTGATCTTCTTTTTTAAATCATGAATGTTCTCAATGGCATCTAGAATGGTGAATCCTTTCCAGTAGGTTTTCAATTATTTTGCCCAGATCCATCAAAGGAATCACTTTCTAGAGAAGCTATAGCTTTATGAAATATATTTTTTAAGTGATAAGACTTGAAAGTTGAAATTATTCTTTGATCCAAGGGCACCAGAATGAATGTTGGGTTAGTAGGCATGAAAACAATATTCAGCTCTTTATACATCTCTGTAAAAGCCCTTGAGTACCAGCGGCATTGTCAGTGAGTGGTAATACTTTGAAAGGAATCTTATTTCTTGAGCAGTAGTTGTCGACAGTGGGCTTAAGATATTCAGTAAACCGTATTTGTAAACCGATAGTCTGTCATCCAGGCTTTGTTCCCATTTGTAGAGTACAGGCAGAGCTGTGTTTTATCATAATTCTTCAGGGCCCTCGGATTTTCAGAATAGTAAATCATCATTGGTTTCATGTTAACATCACCAACTGCATTAGGTCTTAACAAAAGAGTCAGCATGTCCTTCGAAGCCTTAAAGCCAGGAATCAACTCCTCTCTAGCTGGGAACATCCTGGATGGCATCTCCTTCTAGTAGAATGCTGTTTTGTCTCCATTGCAAATCTGTTTAGTGTAGCCGTCTTAATCAATTATCTTCTAGATAGCTTTCTGCAGCTTTTCCATCAGTACTTGCTGCTTTATCTTGCGCTTTTATGTTATGGAGATGACTTTTTTCCTTAAACCTCAAGAAACAAGCTCTTCTAGCTTCAGACTCTTCTTCTGCAGCTGCCTCACCTCTCTAAGTCTTCATAGAATTGAAGAGAGGCCGGGTGTGGTGGCTGTCACACCTGCAATCCTAGCACTTTGGGAGGCCGAGGCGGGCAGATCACCTGAGGTCGGGAGTTCGACACCAGTCTGACCAACGTGGAGAAACCCCGTCTCTACTAAAAATACAAAAAATTAGCCAGGTGTGGTGGTGCATGCCTGTAATCCCAGCTACTCGGGATGCTGAGGCAGGAGAGCTTGAACTTGGGAGGCAGAGGTTGCGATGAGCCAAGATCATGCCATTGTACTCCAGCTTGGGCAAGAAAAATGAAACTCTGTCTCAAAAACAAAGAAAAAAGTAAAAAGAGAGTTAGGCTTAGGCTTAATGGAATTTTTTTTTATCTTCTATCTAGATCAATTAAACTTTCTTCATAACAGCAGCAAGATTGTTTAGCTTTTTATCATTCATGTATTCACTGGAGTAGTACTTTAAATTTCTTTCCAGAACACTTCTTTTGCATTCACAACTTGGCTAAGTGTTTGTTGCATGAGGTCTAGCTACTGGCCTGTCTTGCTTACAGCATGCCTTCCTCACTAAGCTTAATTATTTCTTTCTTTTGGTTTAAAGTGACAGACATACAACTCTTCTTTCACTTGAACATACAGAGGCTATTGTAGGGTTATTAATTGGCCACATTTTAATATTAATAAAAAGAAGCCTGAGAAAAAGAGAGAGAAAGAGAAATGGCCCGTTGGTGGGGCAGTCAGAACAAACGCATTTGTCAATTGTTTGCTGTCTTATCCTGGTGTGATTTGTGGTTCCCAAAACAATGACAACAGTAGCATTAAAGACCACTCATTACAGATCACCATAACGATTCAATAATAAAAATCTTAAAATACTGCGAGAATGACCGAAATGTGACACAGAGACGTGAAGTTAGCACGTGCTGTAGGGACAATGGTGCCAGTCAGACCTGCGTATTGCAGGGTGGCCACAAACCTTCAATATGTAAAACACATGGTCACAAAACACAATAAAGCAAAGTGCAGTGAATCAAGATGTGTCTGTCTTTTGATAGACTCTGACAATCTCTATCTTTGAATTGGTACATTCATACCATTAGCATTCAAAGTGATTATTGATATCATTGGATTAATATCTACTATATTTGTTACTGTTTTCTATTCATTCTCCTCAGTCTCCATTCTTTTGTCTACCACTCTTTTTCTGCCTTTTGCAGTTTTCATTGATGATTTTAGATGACTACATTTTCCCTGTCTTTCTTAGCATGTACTTCTCTTTTTAAAACTTTTTTTAACTAGTTGCCACAGAATTTGCGATATACATTTACAACAAATTCAAGTCCACTTTCAAATAACACTATCCCACTATCCCACAAATAAGACTACCTGCTTAACAAACAAAACACCTAATTCCTCAGTAACATTTACAACCAATTCAAGTCCACTTTCAAATAACACTATCCCACTATCCCACAAATAAGACTACCTGCTTAACAAAGAACACACCTAATTCCTCAATATACATTTACAACCAATTCAAGTCCACTTTCAGATAACACTATCCCACTTCACGGGTGACTACCTGCTTAACAAAGAAAACACCTGATTCCTCCCTCCCATCCTTCCATTCCATTCCTTGTATTATTGTTCCTTATTTGACTTGTGTATAAGCATACATAATCTATCTGTGTGTATTTATTATTATCTACAAACTTATTGGTCAGATCAATTATGAATAAATACATGTTTTTATTGTACCACAATTCCTCCCTCCCATCCTTCCATTCCATTCCTTGTATTAGTGTTACTCATTTCACTTGTGTTTAAGCATACATAATCTATCTGTGTGTATTTGTTATTGTCTATGAACTTCTTGGTCAGATCAATTAAGAATAAATACATAGGTTTTTATTGTACCACAATTCTTTAATGCTCTTTTTAAAAAAATGTTGATCCAGGTTTCAGTTATATATCTTTTGTTTCCCTCTAAAGAATTTCATTTAACATTTCTTGCAAGACAGGTCTCCTGGCAACAAGTTTCTTGAATTTTTATTTTTCTGAGGAAGGCCTTAATTCTCCTTCACTTTTGAAGGGTGTTTTCAGTGGGTACAGAAACTTAGGTTGGTGGGTTTTTTTCTGTCAACATTTTGAATTTTTCATTTCACTGTCTTCTTGCTTTCACAGTTTCTGCAATGTTGAATGCAGTTCTTATCTTTGTGTCTCTGTAGGTAAGGTGTTTTCTGCCCCACCTCTGGTTTCTTTCAGAGTTTTCCTTTATCTTTTATTTCATATAGTTTGAAAATTATATGTCCAAGTGTACGTTGTTGGCATTTATTCTGCCTGGTGTTCTTGGAGCTTCCTGGATCTTTGGTTTGGTGTCTGACATTAATACTGGAAGTTCTCAGACATGGTTGTTGCAGAACTTTCTTCTATTTCTTCTCCTCCTGGTATTCTCATTACTCTGTTTCACCTTTTGTAGTTGTCCCACAGTCTTGGATATCATCTTCTGTTATTTTCAGTGTTTCTTTTCTTTAGTTTTCGAAGTTTCTGATGATAAATCCTCAAGCTCAGAGATTCTTTACTCAGCTGAGTCCAGTCTACTAATAAGCCATCAGAGGTATTCTTCAGTTATTTACCACATTTTTTACCACTACATTATGTTGAAGGTTCTTACGATGTCTGTCTTTCTGATTACATTACCCATCTATACTTGAATGCTGTCTACTTCATTCATTAGGCCCTTAGCATATTCTCCAGAGGTTTAAAAAAAATTCCAAAATCATATCTTTGTCTGCTTCTGAAGCTTGCTCTGTTGACACAAATTATATTTTTTTCTTTTTTTGGATTTTAGTATGCCTTGCAATTTTTTCCCTTTATTCTCATGCATGAAGCACCCACTAAAATTGACTGCTGTTAGTATAGCTTTAGTAATGCGGTGATGAGGTGACAGGGCAGGTGATGCTCTCTTAGTCTCTTTAGGCTACTATAACAAAATACTTTAGACTGAGTAATTCATAAACAACAGAGATATTGCTCACAGATCTGGAGGCTGGAAAGTCCAAGACTAAAAGGGCAGGATATTTAGTGTTTGGTGAAGGTCAAACATTCAGACACTCGCAACGACTATAGTGACATCAGCAGTCTTCAGGAATCCTATGTGAGGGACAAACACTCAGAAGCCAGCTGGAGTGTTCCAGAATCCTATGTGAGGGACAAACATTCAGACCCCAGCAGTAGTGTTGTGGAATCCTATGTGAGGGAAAAACTTTCAAACCCTTGTAGCAGTGTTCTGCAATCCTATGTGAGGGACAAAAATTCAGAACCTCGTAGCAGTGTTCTGGAATCCTATGTGAGGAACAATCAGACCACAGCAGGAATGTTCTGGAATCCTATGTGAGGGGCAAACATTCAGACCACAGCAGGAGTGTTCTGGAATCCTATGTGAGGGACAAACATTTCAAAACCTCGTAGCAGTGTGCTGGAATGTTATGTCAGGGACAGACATTTAGACCCTCACAGCAGTGTTCTAGAATCTCATCTGCAGGACAAACATTCAGACACTCGCAGCAGTGTTCTGGAATTCTATGTGAGGGACATTCAAACCCCAACAGCAGTGTTCTAGAATCCTATGTGAGGGACAGACGTTCAGACCCCAGCAGCAGTGTTCTGGAATCCTATGTGAGGTACAAACATTCAGATACCAGCAGAAGTGTTCTGGAATCCTATGTGAGGGACAAACATTCAGACACTCGTAGCACTGTTCTGGAATCCTATGTGAATGGCAAAAATTCAGACCACGACAACAATGCTCAGGAATCCTATGTGAGGGACAAACATTCAGACCCTCCTAGCAGTGTTCTGGAATCTTATGTGAGGGACAAATATTCAAACCACAGCAGCAGTGTTCTGGAATCCTATGTGAAGGACAAACTTTCAGACCACAGCAGGAGAGTTCTGGAATCCTATGTGAGGGACAAACTTTCAGACAAAAGCAGGTGTGTTCTTAAATCCTATATGAAGGACAAACATTCAGACCCCAGGAACACTGTTCTGAAATCCTATGATAAGGGCAAACATTCAGACCCCAACATGAATGTTTTGGAATCCTATGTGAGGGACAAGCATTAAGACCATAGCAGGAGTATTCTGGAATCCTATGTGAGGGACAAACATTCAGACCCTTGTAGCAGTGTTCTGGAATCCTATGTGATTAACAAACATTGAGTCCACAGCAGGAGTGCTCTGGAATCCTATGTGAGGGACAAACATTCAGACACCAGAAGGAGTGTTCTGGAATCCTATGTGAAGGACAGACATTTAGACCCTCGAAGCAGTGTTCTGCAGTCTTAAGTGAGGGACAAAAATTCAGACCCTCGTAACAGTGCTCTGGAATCCTTTTTGAGGGACAGACATTGAGACCTCAGCAGCAGTGGTCTGGTATCCTATGTGAGGGACAAACATTCACTCCCCAGCAACAGTGTTCTGTAATCATATGTGAGGGACAAGCATTCAGACCCCAGCAGCAGTGTTCTGGAATCTTATGTGAGGGACAAACATTGAGACCCTCGTAGCAGTGTTCTGGAATCCTACATGAGACACAAACATTCGTACCACAGCAGAAGTGTTCTGGAATCTTATGTGAGGGACAACCATTCAGACCACAGCAGGAGTGTTCTGGAATCCTATGTGAGGGACAACCATTCAGACCACAGCAGGTGTGTTCTGGAATCCTATGTGAGGGACAAATATTCAGACCCTCATGGCAGTGTTCTGGAATCCTTTGTGAGGGACAAACATTCACACCCCAGCAACAGTGTTCTGTAATCGTATGTGAGGGACAAGCATTCAGACCCCAGCAGCAGTGTTCTGGAATCTTATGTGAGGGGCAAACATTGAGACCCTCGTAGCAGTGTTCTGGAATCCTACGTGAGACACAAACATTCGTACCACAGCAGAAGTGTTCCGGAATCTTATGTGAGGGACAACCATTCAGATCACAGCAGGAGTGTTCTGGAATCCTTTGTGAGGGACAACCATTCAGACCACAGCAGGTGTGTTCTGGAATCCTATGTGAGGGACAAATATTCAGACCCTCATAGCAGTGTTCTGGAATCCTTTGTGAGGGACAAACATTCAGACCCCAGCTGGAGGGTTCTGGAATCCTGTGTGAGGGACCAACATTCAGACCCTCACAGCAGTGTTCTGGAATGCTATGGGAAAGGCAACCATTCAGACCCTCATAGCAATGTTCTGGAATCCTATGTCAGGGACATTCAGAGCCCAGCCGCAGTGTTCTGGAATCCTATGTGACAGACAAACATTCAGACCACAGCAGGAGCGTTCTGGAATCCTATGTGACGGACAAACGTTCAGACCATAGCAGTAGTGTTCTGCAATCCAATGTGAGGGACAAACATTCAGAGCCCAGCAGCAGTGTTCAGGAATCCTATGTGAGGGACCAACAATCATACCCTCGTAGCAGCGTTCTGAAATCCTATGTGAGGGACAAACATTCAGAACCCAGCCGCAGTGTTCTGGAATCCTATGTGACAGAAAAACATTCCGACCACAGCAGCAGTGTTCTGGAATCCTATGTGCGGTACAAACTTTCAGACCACAGCAGGAGAGTTCTGGAATCCTATGTGAGGGACAAACTTTCAGACCCCAGGAGCAGTGTTCTGAAATCCTATGTTAAGGGCAAGCATTTACATCCCAGCGTGAATGTTCTCGAATCCTAGGTAAGGGACAAACATTCAGACCACAGCAGGAGTGTTCTCGAATCCTATGTGAGGAACAAACATTCAGACCACAGAAGGAGTGTTCTGGAATACTATGTGAGGGACATTCATACCCTCTTAGCAGTGTTCTGGAGTCCTATGTGATGAACAAACTTTCAGACCACAGCAGGAGTGTTCTGGAATCCTATGTGAGGGTCAAACATTCAGACCCCAGCAGTAGTGTTCTGGAATCCTATGTGAGGGCAAACATTCAGACCCACGTGGCAGTATTCTGGAATCCTATGTGAGGGACAAACATTCAGAACCTCGTAGCAGTGTCCTGAAATCTTATGTGAGGGAGAGACATTTAGACCCTCGCAACAGTGTTCTGGACAAACATTCAGACACTCCCAGCCGTGTTCTGGAATTCTATGTGAGGGAAAGACATTCAAACCCCAGCAGCAGTGCTCTGGAATCTGATTTGAGGGGCAGACATTCAGACCCCAGCAGCAGTGTTCTGGAATGCTATGTGAAGGACAAACATTCAGACCACGGGAGCAGTGTTCTAGAATCCAATGTGAAGGACAAACATTAAGACTCTCGTAGCAGTGTCCTGGAATCATATGTGAGGAACAACCATTCAGACACCAGCAAAAGTGTTCTGGAATCCTAGGTGTGGGAAAAACATTCAGAACCTAGTAGCAGTGTTCTGGAATCCTATGTGAGGGACATACATTCAGACCACGGCAGCAGTGTTCTGGAATGGTATGTGAAGGACAAACATTCAGACCCTTGTAGCAGTGTTCCGGAATTCTATGGGAGGGACAAACATTCAGACCAAAGCATCAGTGTTCTGGAATCATATATGACGGACCAACATTCAGACCCTTGCAACAGTGTTCTGGAATACTAGGTGAGGGAGAAATATTCACACCCTTGTAGCAGTGTTCTGGAATTCTATGTGACTGACAAACATTCAGACTCCAGCAGCAGTGTTCTGTAATCCTATGTGAGCGACAAACATTCAGACCCCAAGAGCAGTGTTCTGAAATCCTATGTTAAGGGAAATATTGAGACCCCAGCATGAATGTTCTGGAATCCTATGTGAGGGACAAACATTCAGACCATGGCAGGAGTATTCTGGAATCCTATGTGAGGAACAAACATTCAGACCACAGCAGAAGTGTTCTGGAATCCTATATGAGGGATAAGCATTCAGACCCTCATAGCAGTGTTCTGGAATCCTATGTGAGGGAGAAGCATTCAGAGCACAGCAGGAGTGCTCTGGAATCCTATGTTAGGGACAAACATTCAGAACCTCGTAACATTGTTCGGGAATCCTGTGTGAGGGACAGACATTTAGACACTCGCAGCAGTGTTCTGGAATCCCATGTGAGGGTCAAACTTTCAGATCCTCACAGCAGTGTTCTGGAATTCTATGTGAGTGACAGCCATTCAGACTCCAGCAACAGTGTTCTGTATTCCTATGTGAAGGACAAACATTCAGAATCCAGGAGCAGTGTTTTGAAATCATATGTTAAGGGCAAACATACAGACCCTAGCATCAATGTTCTAGAATCATATGTGAGGGAAAGACATACAGACCCTCGCAGCAGTGTTCTGGAATCCTAGATGGGGGACAAACATTCAGACCCCAGCAGCAGGCTTCTGGAATCCTATGTGGGGGACAAACATTCAGACAATGGCAGCAGTGTTCTGGAATCCTATGTGAGGGACAAACACTCAGAGCCTTGTAGCAGTGTTCTGGAATCCTATGTGAGCGAGAGTGCCTGGAGCCTACCCAACCTGACGCCCCCAAAGCCTTCACAGGGTCTGACCTCCCAGCATGCACCTGCCTCTCCCTGAACCCCAACTGCCCACCCTGCCTTTTCCCTGGCCTCCTCCATCCTGTGCAGCCCATAGACTGTGACCATCTCTCCAGTCACTCTGGCCCTTCCTTTACCTTTGTCCTGTCAGGATCTCTGAGCAGGATCTCCCAGGTCCATCCAAATACGTGCTTTGTCCACTTTTGACTAGGCCCTTGGGCATCACTGGGCTATCCCAGCTGTCCACAAGGCCTTCAATAATGCACATTGCACCTGGCTTATCCAAGCAGTGCTCAGCAGCCCACATTGACCAGGTCCCTGCTGACCAGACCCCGCACATCAGGTCCTCCCTGATGAAACCCTCACTGATTAGAACCTCATGACCAGGCCCCACTAACAAGGGCCCCACTGCCAGGCACACAATGACAAGGACTCCACTGACCAGGACCTTACTGACAAGGCCTCACTGACAAGGCCTCATGGACCAAGTCCTTACTGACAAGTCCTCACTGACTATGTCATTATTGACAAGGCCTCACTGATCAGGTTCCACTGATCATGACCTCATTCCCTGGCCCCAAAGATGAGGCCCCACTGACCAGACCTCCAGGGAACAGGTTGCCACTGATCAGGCCCCTAATAACCAGGCCTAAGATCACCAGATGCCCCTGACTGGGACCCTAGTGAGTAGACCCCACTGAACTGGCACCAAATGCTGAGATCCCCGCTGACCAGGTCACCCTGTAGACTAGTACTGCAAAAGTCACCACTGACCAAGTCCTCTCTGACCAGGACGCTACAGATTAGGTCCCGCTGACAAGGCTGCCCTGACCAGGGCCCCACTGACAAGGACCTCACTGATGAGGACACGCCCACCAGGGTCTGCTGACTAGGTCCCATGTGCCCACTCCTCCACTGAATAGCACCCCTTGACCTGGTCACCAGTGCCCCAGCCCATGCTGACCAGGCCAGCACTAAGCCCCAGCTGACCAGGTCTCCACTGATCAAGCCCCACAGCCCAGGTTTGCACTGACCAGACACCAAACAACTGGCAGCCAATAGGTCCCCACTCACCAAAACCCCACTACTAGACCCCACTAATGAGACCCTCTCTAAGCAGACCCCT